>NC_000001.11:207730041-207881556 GCF_000001405.40 Homo sapiens | reverse complement strand
TCCCAAGTAGCTGGGACTACAGGCACCCGCCACCACGCCCGGCTAATTTTTTTGTATTTTTAGTAGAGATGGGGTTTCACCGTGTTAGCCAGGCTGGTCTCGATCTCCTGACCTCATGATCCACCCACCTCAGCCTCCCAAAGCGCTGGGATTACAGGTGTGAGACACCGCGCCCAGCCCCCGAATGCTGATTCTTTTATCTGCTTCTGTATTCAATCTGTTGTGATATGATGGGTAGCCTCTGAAACACTCCACTGTATACTTGTGAAAGAATGAATGTGAAAAAGGAAAATAGATTTGTAGTATTATTATTCAAATTGTTTTGACCTCAGAGACCACTTGGAAATGTTTTAGGGAACCCCCAGAGGACCTTGGATCATGCTTTGAGAACCGCGGCTCTAGATATGTTACTATTTCAGTAGCATCTAAGTACATGTGGCTGCTGAGCACTTGTAATGTGGCTAGTGCAAATGAGAGACAGGACTTCCAGCTATATGTAATTTAATAAACTCAAATTTAAAAACTGGAACCTCATAAAATGTTTTGTTGTTGTTGTTAAACATGACCTTATAGTTTTGGTAGGAATACATTTCACTTTAACCCTTCAAAATTTAGCATTTGAATTGAGATATGCTGTATATGTTAAATACATGACAGATTTTGGGGACTTAGAAAAAAATAATGTAAGATATTTCATTAATAGTTTTTATATTGAGTATTTTTTGCTATGATAATATTTTTGATATATTGGGTTAAATAAAATGTATTTTAAAATTAATTTAAGCTATATTTATTAAAATCTTTAGAATGTGGATAATAGAACATTTAAAATGACATACGTGGTTCACATTTTATTTCTCCTGGAGTGTACTGCTGTAGATGAATTTAGATGATGAAGGCTTTGTGTGTCATGTAAAGCTTATTCTTTATTTTGAAGGTAATGTAGAGCCATTGAAAAGTCTGAAGTAGAGAAGTGACATATCAGATTTGCATTTTAGAAAGCTTACTCTGGCTTCAGTGTGGAGCATGGACTGAAGAAGGAACCAGTTAGGGTTAGGAGGTGATTGCATTATTGAAGGGTAGGAAGACTGTGGCCTGAAGAAAAGTGGCTAAACCAGAGACATATGGCTGGGCGCAGTGGCACACGCCTGTAATCCCAGCACTCTGGGAGGCTGAGGCAGGTGGATCACTTGAGGTCAGGAGTTCGAGAGCAGCCTGGCCAAAATGGTGAAACCCTGCCTCTACTAAAAATACAAAAGTAGCCGGGCATGGTGGCGCCTGCCTGTAATCCCAGCTAATCAGGAGGCTGAGGCACAAGAATCACTTGAACCCGGGAGGTAAAGATTGCAGTGAGCCGAGATCATGCCACTGCACTCCAGTCTGGGCAACAGAGTGAGACTCTGTCTCAAAAAAATAATAAACAAACAAACAAACAAATAAATAAATAAATTGGAGACCATAGTGGAAAGATGAAATCAACTGGATTTGGTTCTTAGGTGTAATAATGGCATTTTGGTTATGTAAGAGAATGTTCTTATTTCTAAGAGATGCACACAGGAATCTTTAGGGATGAAGGGCCATAATGTCTGTAATTTACTTTCAAATGTCCATCATATTCATACACACATACACAGTATATCTGTGAGATAATAAGAGTGAAAAGGTAAATAGCATCTTAGTAGTATTATGAAAAAAATATATATGGAGAGAGGGAAAGGGGAGAAAAAGCAAATATGAGACAAAATATTAGCAATTTTGAATCTACATGAAAGCAATCTAGTAAATGATGAATCATTTTAGTCTTCTTCCAGCCCTTTCTGTAGGTTTGACAATTTTCAAAATAAAAAGATGGGGAAAAAATGAAAAGAAAAAAAAAACTTTAAAAAGTCTTGGTAATCACTGATTAGATATGAGAGAAAGGGAGTGACTTTCTGGTTCCTTGCCTGGCAACAGAGTAGACAGCACTGTCCTTCCCAAGAGGGAAGTGCAAGAGGAGAAATCGAATTGGAGGGATGATGAGTTCGTTATGGAGTGTGTGGACTTTGAGGTGCTCTGGGCTCCAACAGGCAACGTGCAACCCTGAAGTTTTTGAGAGGGAAATGTGGTAAAGATGCAGACATGGGTGTCTTTAGAATCTAGATGGTAATGGAAGGTACTGGGGGACCCTGGAGTATCAAGGGCATGTGTGGAGAATGAGAAGAGATGAGGTGTGAGGATGAAATCCTGGCGGACACTGACATTTCAGGGTCAGCAAAGAAGGATATTGGAGTAGACAACTTCCAAGGTGGCCCATGACACCACCTCTTCACAGGCAGGCTTTTGTGTAGTCAGCCCCTCTCACACTGTATCAGTGTTGGCCTGTCAGACAAGAGGGGTGGAAGTGATGGCATGTCACTCCTGAGATTACATCATAAAAGACATTGTGGCTTTCATCTAGGCTTGCTACATGCTCATTCTTGTGGATCCCTTGTTCTGGGGGAAGCCATCTATCATGTCATGGTAGGCTACAGGGAGTTCCATGTGGGGAAGAACTGAAACCTCCTCCCAACAGCCATGTGAGGAAGCTTGGAAAACCTTAGAAGAGTATCCTTTAAAAAAAAGTTTTAAATTAAACACAAATAAATACATAAACAGTACAACTGCAATCTCATGAGACATCCCAAGCGAGACAACTCAGGTAAGCCATTCCACCCAGCTAAATTGCTCCAGATTGCTGACCCTAAGAAACTGCGTGAGGCCAGGTATGGTGGCTCATGCTGTAAACCCAACCCTTTAGGAGGCTGAGGTGGGAGGATTGCTTGAGGCCAGGAGTTTGAGACCAGCCTAGGCAAATAATGAGAACCCCTGTCTCCACAACAAATTAAAAAATTAGCCAGGCATGATGGCACGTGCCTGTAGTGCCAGCTACACAGGAGGTGAGGCAGAAGGATTGCTTGAGCCCAGAAGGTTGAGGCTGCAGTGAGCTGTGTTTGTGCCACTGCGCTCCAGCCTGGGCAACAGGGCAAGATTTTGTCAGAAAAAAAAAAAAATCAAGAAACTGTGTGAGAGAATCCATGTTTTTTTTTTATTATTATTATACTTTCAGTTTTAGGGTACACGTGCACAATGTGCAGGTTAGTTACATATGTATGCATGTGCCATGCTGGTGTGCTGCACCCAGTAACTTGTCATTTAGCATTAGGTATATCTCCTAATGCTATCCCTCCCCCCTCCCCCCACCCCACAACAGTCCCCAAAGTGTGATGTTCCCCTTCCTGTGTCCATGTGTTCTCACTGTTCAATTCCCATCTATGAGTGAGAACATGCGGTGTTTGGTTTTTTGTCCTTGCGATAGTTTGCTGAGAATGATGGTTTCCAGCTTCATCCATGTCCCTACAAAAGACATGAACTCATCATTTTTTATGGCTGCATAGTATTCCATGGTGTATATGTGCCACATTTTATCCATGTTGTTCTAAGCTTCTGAATTTTGGGGTAATTTGTTATGCAGCAACAGATAACGAACACAGACAAACCTCAAAGGTGAGTTAGAAGGGAATATGTCGAGACAGGAGAACCATGAGCCTGGGATCTTGAGAATATGTCATGGAAGACAGCCTGGAATACGGTGGCTAATACTACTGAATGGCAGAGGATTGGAATTTTCAACAAAGAGGTGATTTATAACCTTGGTGAAAGCAGTCAGGAGAGTGGGGGAGGGCAGAGACCAGATTATAGTAGGCCAAAGGGCAAATTAGAAAAGCTGTAATTTTTCCATTATCACATTTATTGAGGGGAAAAGTACAATGAGTATCACAATCCTAATTTTAGGTATGAGAAAGCCAAAGTCACATTGCTAATATGTGGCAAAATCCTCCTGACCGTTCCACCAGTGATATATTAAATAATTTTCTCCGCTAGCATGGTGGCTCATGGCTATAATCCCAGCATTTTGGGAGGCTGAGGTAGGAGGATTGCTTGAGGCCAGGAGTTCAAGACCAGCCTACGCAACATAGCAAGATCTGTCTCTATGCAAATAAAAAATAATAAAAATAAATTAGCCAGGTGTGACGGCGCATACCTGTAGTCCCAGATACTCAGGAGGCTGAGGTGGGAGGATCACTTGAGCCCAGGAAAGAGGTCAAGGCTGCAGTGAGCCATGATCGCACCACAGCACTCCAGCCTAGGCAACACAGTGAGACCCTGTCTTTAAAAAAGAAAATTCTTGGCCAGGCACGGTGGCTCATGCCTGTAATCTCAGCACTTTGGGAGGCTGAGGTGGGCGGATCACGAGGTCAGGAGATCAAGACCATCCCGGCTAACACGGTGAAACCCCGTCTCTACTAAAAATACAAAAAATTAGCCGGGCGTGGTGGCGGGCGCCTGTAGACCCAGCTACTCGGGATGCTGAGGCAGGAGAATGGCGTGAACCCGGCAGACGGAGCTTGCAGGGAGCCGAGATCGCCCCACTGCACTCCAGCCTGGGCGACAGAGCGAGACTCCGTCTTAAAAAAAAGAAAAAGAAAAAGAAAAAAAAGATTCTCTCCACCTACATTCATTACCGTTTCTGGGAAGAGTTCTGATAAATTCAGTTTTTGCAACCTTGCTCCATTTCCAGTGATATTCTTGAATCCCTTATGATTGTGGTGACCCAGCCCGCTTCCTAGCTGGGATGCTCCTTCATCTGGTTCTGCCTAACTCACCCCTCAGCCCCCACTGCCTTGGGTAAGTCCTTAGAAAGAGAACTGACAAATTAAAGTGAGACATTCTTTCATTCATTCCATAGCTATTTATTGAGCTTCTTAGAAGAGCTTCAGCTACCTGGCTAGCATTCTTAGACATCAATGGGCAACCAACTTGTCATTGGCAGTTTTACATGTGAAGTCAGCACTCCACAAGCAAAAGAAAATCTGCCTTAGCTTCCTAGAGAGGGGGGCCCTACTCAAGGTTGAATAGAGCACAGTAAAATTCAGCAACTGCAGCATCAACAAATGAAGCAATCAGGGTAATCATTCAGCAGTGATTAATAGCAACATCTCTTCTTGGGTCTCAGACATGAAGCTATACATAGGTAGCTATTCCTAGCTCTAACTCTGTTTTAATGTATTTGGCCTTCAGTCAATCAATTCACCTTCCTCTGACCCATACAGTGTCCCCCGTGAAAGGTTTCCTGAGTAAGATTCACCCTGGGGATGCAACCCACTTCAGACCTGCTTGAGCTGCACCGAGCGGCCACATGGTGTCGTGGTCACCCCCTCTGGCTTTGGAGTCAGACATGCCTGCATTTGGGGTCCAGCTCTGACATGTTAGCTATGTCACTTTGAGCAGATTACTTTTTTAACCTTTTCCATCCTTGGTTTCCTCATCTGAAAAAAAAGGGGGCAAGGGCTAATATCCACCTCATAGTATTACCATATGTATAACAGGAAGAAAAAAATGTAATGTAAAAAATGATTGCCATATTTCTTCATTCTGGGGGGAGCAGGATTCCTCACAGAGGTGCTTCACTCATTTGTGGAGGAATAAACACTTTGTTCAACTTTTTTGGTTAAGAAAAGCAGCTGAGGATCCAATTCTCAGCTCCTTCTCTGATCTCAGAGTGAGAATAGCCCAGAATGGAGATGTTTGTTCAAAAGAGTTAAATTTCCTTTGTATAATAAAGTAACAGTAATCAGATATTTTCAGGGAGAGGTGGAGGGCAGTAGAGAGATGGAGGGAAAGGATTGGGGAAAGGGAGAAATGGCTGCAGGCAGGGCTCTGGGAGGCAGAGCAGCCAGGAAAAAGGGTGCTGGGCACGCTAGTGTGACGATTTTCAGCACTTCCTGGTCCGAGTGGTGCTGTCACAGTCCTATGTTGCCCTGACCTTTAGTTAAAGTCTTCCAGGCAAAATGACCTTAAGTCCTGGGAGTCTTTGGGGAAAGAAGAAAAGAAGGGGCCCGCTTGCCATGAATGAGAGTGATGTGATAAGAGGACAACATTGTCAGCAGGCAGGTGAAAGTGCCCAAATTCAGCTGGAGCAGGAATTCATAAGGAAAAGTGATCACAAAAAATGTCACTCCATGCCCCAAGAGTTTTTGGAAATCTTGGCTGGGTGTGGTGGCTCACACTTGTAATCCTAGCACTTTGAGAGGTCAAGGCAGGAGGATCACTTGAAGCTGGGAGTTCGAGATCAGCCTGAGCAATAAAGCAAGACTTCGTCTCTACAAAAAATACAACAACAACAACAACAAATTTAGCTAGGCATGGTGGCTTGCACCTCTCACCCCAGATACTCAGGTGGCTGAGGCTGGAGGATCGCTTGGGCCCAGGAGTTCGAGTCTGCAGTGAGCTATGACTGGGCAACAGAGCAAGACTCTGTCTCAAAGTAAAAAAAATAAAATAAAATAAAAATATATCTTGGGAAAACATGGACTTTCCAGACTTGGGTTGTTAATAAAACATGATTCAAGAACGCGGGTAAAAATTAAGTTACATAAGGATTAAATGAGAGAATGTACTAAAGCAAGTAGCTCAGAGCCCACTTCTTGATAAGCTTTCAACTTAAAATAGCCCTTATTATTATGACTTAATGTTCAATTTCCTCTTTTCTTCACCCCTTTTACTTCAAGGGCTCACAATCTACTTAAAAATTTCGATATAGTCACTCATTTATTCTACAAACATTTACCAAAGTCCTTTGATGTGTCAGGTAAGTTAAATAATTTCAGGCAGTAGTAATTGTCATAGCTAATGTTTTTGAGGGCTTAGTATATACTAGGTACTGTGCTAAGTGCTTTACATAGCTTTTTAAATTTAATCCTCAACAGTCCTAGGGAGGAACAATTATATTCCTACTTTACAAATGAGGTTAGAGAATATGGCACAGTGAGGTCAAGAGACTTGCCCCAGATCACACAGCTAGCCAGTGGGAGAGCCAAGGTGGAACCCAGGCTGTTGAATTTCAGTGCACACTTTTTTTTTTTTTTTTTTTCCTGAGACGGAGTCTCGCTCTGTCACCCAGGCTGGAGTGCAGTGGCGTGATCTCGGCTCACTGCAACCTCCGCCTCCCGGGTTCACGCCATTCTCCTGCCTCAGCCTCCCCAGTTGCTGGGACTACAGGAGCTCGCCACCACGCCCAGCTAATTTTTTGTGGTTTTTGGTAGAGACAGGGTTTCACCGTGTTAGCCAGGATGGTCTCAATCTCCTGACCTCGTGATCTGCCTGCCTCGGCCTCCCAAAGTGCTGGGATTACAGGCGTAAGCCCCTGCGCCCGGCCTAGTGCATGCTTTTAAGCTCCACGCTACACTATTTTGTATTTAATTTTTTTCTTTTTGTGTCTTCTCATGCTTGTTTCCTAACTATACTGTTTTTTAATGCAACTGACAATGTGTGTGAGTTATGGCGTGCAGAGTCAGAGGGATGATGAGGGAATGGCCACCATGGGGACGTTATCCTAGAAGAATGAGTGGGATTTTCTTGCCTTCTTTTCCCTTGAACCTCATATTCCCCTTCCAGCTCTAAGCACTCAAGATGGAGTGGCAGTAGGATCCCAACACTTATATCTGTCCAGAATTGGTCATCAGCTGGCTTGAGTTCTCCCATTCTGCCTGTGCCTTCCCTTAGCAAGGGAAAGAACAAGATGGAAGAGAAGGAAAAGGCTTGATTGAACCAGCCAATAGATAATTAGAAGCTGACTATTTTGCAATAATGCAGCACAACAGCAATAAATAAATCAATCACTTGGGGGGTGGGGAATGACTTCCCTATAATCAGCTATTAAAGACTTGTACCACTAATTAGTCTATTAATTAGAACTGTTCTCTTCCTTCCACATGTTATCAGCCTGCCAAGGCAGAGAAAACTCAGCCCCGGGGGCAGGAGATAAGAGAAGTAAGACATACAGAAGTGGCAGATTCAAACAGCTGGGCTTGTGTGTGTTTTAAAAGCACAGTTCTTAGTGCCCCGGGCATATCCACCTGCTAGTAGGAAAAGAACGTTTATCAAAAACCAAAAGGCTGTTGTCTTTGTTGAGCAGAAAGGGGAAAAAAAGATTTAATCTTTAAAGAGAAAAACCACTGTAACCACACTCAGGGATCTGTGAAGGGCAGTTCCACTGGGTGTTCCCTACAGCACAGGACACAGTGAGAAACAAACATGCTTAGTGCCAAGGCAGCATAATCAGAAGACCGAGGGGCAGAGGCACTCTGCTCCTACTATGTGCCTGGCACCACCTCCGTTCTTTATGTTTGTAATATCTTGTCTGATGATTTCATCTACATTCTCAGATGCCCTTGAGTTATTTCTGGGAGTTCCCAAAAAGGGACCTCAGATGAGCCCTCACAGCTGTGGTCACCAAAAGATGGCTGCTCTGCTCTGCCTCTCCTGTTGTGGCTCTCAGTGGTTCGTGCTCCCCGCCCACCAAGAGCTTGGGAAAGCCTCTCATCACCGTGCCTGACCTTGTTTTGCAAGCTCAAAGGGCTCTGCCTGGGTCCAGAAACTCACAAGTCATTCTTCAAGAGTTCCAACAAGCTCTGAGCCCCACAGCCATCTACATATCCCCGACAAATGCACATTGAGGAGTACTGCAGCCTTCATACTCCTTTTCTCACTTTCCCAGCTCCTCCGATCTGCTCTGTCCCCTAGTTACTAAGCAGACATCCCCTTGCATTCATATGAAAAATAGCAGACACAGGGTGGGGTTTGGGGGCAGGTGTCTCCACTAGCAACAGCTCACCAACAGTTGATAGGTTATCTTGCTTAATCCTCCCAACAGCCATGTGATGGGCTATCAATCCCATTTTGCAGAATGGGGAAACTGTGGCTCAGAGAGGTTAAGCAATTTGGCCAGGCTTCCATGGGCTGTGACAAAGCACTTGGTAAGAGCTCAATAAACATTTGCTGATGGACAGAATTGAAAATATGGAGGAAATGGAAGATCTCCAGCTTCTGAGAAGCTCAGAGCCTGCGGGGGTCCAACTACACAGTAAAGGGGGCTGTCAATTGAGGTAGCCCCATTAGAGTAAGAGAAGGGGCAGAGATAGAGAGCATAGGGTCAGACCCAAGGCCAAGGCCAATTCCTCCCCACCCCATTCTTTCCTATCTTGGTAACTGTTGATATATAGTCCATTTTCTACCAACAACTCACCTCTGCCCCCTGTGCCTCAACAAACACATCCACACACACATAAAAACCCTTCAGAAGCGGTCAGTGGTGACATTTATGAGCTGCATGATCCTCAGGATGTCAACATGTACGTGTCCCAACATCGATACCTACTTTGGGGATGGAGAGAGGAGCAGTGGTGATGTGGCGGAGAGAGTCTGAGCTTGAAATCCCATGTCAGGCCTCTGTTCCTTGGCAACCATCTGGGTGACCTTAGGCAAATTGCTTTACCATGTCTACCTTCAGTTTCCTTATATGCAAAGTAGGAAATGTCAGCTGTCTATTCAAAATGTTATTGTGAGGATCAAGTGAAGTAATACAATACTTCTAACATATATATATATAGAGAGAGAGAGAGAGAGAGAGAGAATTTTAAAATTACAAAATACTTTGTTACACATATATCTCTGGCCACCTTCAGAGCAACCCTAATTATTATTATTTTCATTTTTTAGATAAGGAAATAAAAAACTCAGAAAGATTGAAATTCACTTGAAAACAGTGAATAGTGCTATTATTAAAAAGCAGTAGGCCTGTCCCACCCTATCTGACTTTTAGATTATGAAGCACCACTGCATTTACCCCCAGAGTCTCTCATCTGGGCTATGTGCCATGTTCAAAGCTTTCATTCATTTAATAAATATTTATGTGTTCCCATTTGGCACTAGGTATTGTGCTAGGCATTGAGGATACTATCGCAGAGGTATTAGTGTGGCAGGGAAAGCAGACGTCATATAAGAACAATAACAATATTGTGATTTTCATATTATAGCAGAGGAAGGGCCAGGTGGTGCAGGAGGAGACAGTTGGGAAACCTGAGGAATAGGTGAAACAAAGTCTCAAAAAGTCGGGGACAGCCAGGTGCGGCAACTCATGCCTGTAATCTCAGCACTATGGGAGTCTGAGGCAGGCAAATCGCTTGAGCTCAGGAATTGGAGACTAGCCTGGGCAACATGGCAAAACCCTGTCTCTACAAGATACAAAAATATTTGCTGGGCATGGTAGCGCATGCCTGTAGTCCCAGCTACTCAAGGGGCTGAGTTTGAAGAATCACTTGAGCCGGGAAGATCAAGGCTGCAGTGAGCTGAGATCACACCACTGCACCCCAGTGACAGTGACAGAGTGAGGCCGTCTCAAAAAAAAAATTGGGGGAGGACTTTTATCAAGATGGAGAGAAACATGGTGTTTAGTACAAGTGAAGCATATAGGTAAGAGTGGAGGCTGTGCCAAGACAGGAGGCTGGAGAGTCAGTTGGGCCCAGATCTAGGAGGCCTTGTGAGCCAGGCAAAGGAGTTTGAACCTCATCCTTAGTCCAGAATGAAACTGCATAAGAGTTTTACGTAGGGAAAGGATTGATATATTTGCAAGATCCTTCTAAATGGGATATTGTCTTAGTCCAAGCTGCTACAACAGAATACCACAGACTGAGTGGCTTAAACAACATTTATTTCTCACCATTCTGGAGGCAAGGTAGTCTAAGATCAAGGCATCAGCAGATCTGTGTCTGGAGAAGGTCTGCTTCCTGGTTTGCAGTTGGCCATCTTCTCACTGTATCCTCCCGTGTTGGAAAGCAGAGAGGGAGAGAGAGAGAAAGAGCACACAAACAAGCTTTAGGGAGATACAGACATTCAGTACACAGCAGATGTGGAGACTGGATCTGGGCCTAGTGAGGCTGGAGGCAGGTAGGCGAGTTAGGCTAGAGACAAATGCAGAAATCCCAGCAAGAAATAATGGTGGAATGAGCTAGGAATAAAGAGAGGGCCAATCTTAGAGATTTAAGATTTAGGAAGTAGAATCAGGATGTGGTGATTGATTGGCATATGTGCAAGAAAGGAGGGAAGTGAGATGGAAAAGTCAAGGATGACATCCACATTGCTTGTGCACCAGGCGGGTGGGGACATCCCTCACTGGACTAGGAGACACTGGTGGTAGAATATCTGCTATTTGGTATGTGTGTCCTGCATGAACTTGTCTTGCAACTTCATCCAGGAACCCCTAAATTATGGCTGCCTTGCCTGGAGGAGCAGGAATGAATGAGATAAGCCTATCAACTTGAGGATTCTGTTTTCCAGACGCCTAGAGGTCCATGTGGTGGAGCATCAGGAAGGGAGGAAAGGTGCAGGTAGAGCAAAGGCATTTGCTGGGCCTCCTATTCTCTCAATCCAATCTCTCTGATTACTTAAGAACTGTTTGTCGAAGGCATACCATGTAAGGCCCTTAGTAGTTGCAGAGGGAGAAACTGATCTTAAAACAGTTTTGCTATCTAGAAGGAGATAAGAAAACCAACCACAGAAATAAATACAGGTGTGTTTATAACATGTTAACAGCCATAAAAGACATACTCTCAGAAAACTGAGGTCATAAATGACATTGCTGATTGGGAAAATCAGAGAGGAAGAGGTTTTCGAGTTGGCCTTAAAGGACAGGTGGAATTTCTACAGGCGGAAATGTGAGGTTGGGCGTCCAGTGGAGATATCCCTGAAGGAGGAAAAAGCATGAGATAAGATGGCAGCGTATTCAGGTAATCACCAGCTCGCTCTTTCTGCTTAGGGTATCTGCACAAAGTGAGATATTAAGCTGGGATCCACGGAGCTTTGAGGAGTTTCAGAATTCCCTGAAATATTGTGCAAAATTATATTTCTGTATGCATGTGCTTTTTTTGAAGACAGGGTCCATAGCTCTTCTGCAATTCTCAGAAGGGTGTAGGTACAAGAAAAGGTTAAAAACAGCAGTTGAAATTTCCGAATTAGAATTTACAGGTAGGCTGGGGCATCTGTGCATGTGTGTTCTAACAAGCTCGGGAAGTGACTCAGTGCACACCTCGGATCTCTAGACGGGCCCATGGAGGCCTTGAGATGCCAGCCTCGAGCGCTTCCCACCCATTTCCCACCCCTCGATTCTCCACCCCCATTTTACAAGGAGTCACCAGCATCCCCACAGTCTCCACTGCCCTGGAAGAAATATGGCGAGGCAAGGTCAGAGGAACAGGGGGGAAATCAGAATATCTTGCAAAGACTCTGGAGTCCCCTTCAGAGACAGGGTGGGTGGGAGCTGCTCTGCCCCGAGTCTAGCGACGGCCACACGGCCTGACAGGTCTCCCGCCCCGCCGCAAGCCCATGGTCAAATTCTGGGAATTTCCGAATCAGTTGGCAGGCCCGGCTGCTGCAGATTTTCCCGGACACGAGCGTGCAGCGCCCGACGCGGCCGCTGGGTGGCGCCGCGCGGGACGCCGAGCGTGGGAAGCGCGGGCGCGCGGGCAGGCTGAGCTCACACGCCCGGGAAGCGGCCGCCGCGGAGCCGGCGTCCGCAGCGGCTGCGCATCTCGGGCCTGCAGCGGGGCGCTTGGCGGGCGGGGGCCGGGGGAGAGCCTGTTTGCGCAGTACCCCCGGAGGGCGGAAGGCCGCCGAGGTAAGAGCCGGGACTCGGCCAGGTGGGAGTGGGCACCTTGGGCCGGGCCTGCAGGGCGGTCCCCGAGCGTCCCGGGGTAGGGTGGGCTCCCTGGGGACGATGCCCAGGGCCCCGGCCGCGCTCCGGTCGCGCCCCACCCCGGCTGCAGCGCGGCCTTGGGGCGCTGCTGGCCTCGCCGCGGGGGTGGGAGCGGTCGCGGCCTGGAGCAGCTCCGGGCGGGCCCCAGGCTCTGGGGCCAGGGCCAGCTGCGCGCAGGGGTGAGTGAGCAGCCCCCGGGCCCTCAAGTGAGCCCCTGTCCGCTCCCCACCTTGCATTTCTCCTCTCCGCAGTGGGCGTGGTGCCCCTTTGCTGCAGAGGGGGCGCCCAGAGTTGAGGAAGGCTGCGGGGGAGAACGCAGAGACAGGTGGTTGAGGGGGCGAGGGCTGGTGCGCCAAGGCTCGAGGTATTAATGCGTATTTCTTTTTCCCCCCTTCTTCAGGGGGCGCGGAGGTCCGTGTGGAGGAGGAGGCGGGAAGGCCAGAGGCATAGCTCAGGAGAGGGCAGGTGCTGCGGGAGATCACTTGGCTCTGTCTCTGTTCAGCTGCCCCCACCCCTGCCAAATTAATAAAGTGGGTGTGGTGATGACGGTGGAGGAGTTTGATTAAGACCTGGCCCAAACTGCCCAGAACTGCCCCAGGCCGGCCGCCTAGTCCCGCGTGTATATCCGGGAGCCGCAGACTCTGAGCATTCTGTAGAGGGAGGGGGAATATTACCCGAAGGAGCTACAGCCACTGAGGCAGCTCCAGAGATAGGGGCTGCGGAGCAATCTTCAGGCTCACAGCCCAAGTTCATAGATGGTGAATTGGCCAGGAATGGTGGGAGATGGGGGCTGTAGGGAAATAGGGTAATTTCCTTAGGACCCCTTCCTTCCAGCTTTGCAACCGTAGACCAAAATTTGGGATCTGGCATTTGTCAAATGTGCTTAATTTTTTTTTCTTTCCCTTTCGGTTTGTTTTGTTTTTTAGAGAAACAGCAAGTGACAGAGCAGAGGAACGGCTGGCCCAGCCAATCCTGGAGCTGCTGTTGCAGCACTTGTTCCCCAAACAAGTGCTCCTACATTCTGGTAGGAGGACAGAGAGGAGGGGGCTACTGGTCCACACCCCTCCCCTGCCGAGGACCCCATGGCTGCTCCCCTGCAGGAAAGGCAGCTAGGCTGCCTTAGGCCGGATGGGCAGAGGCTGCCATGGCCCAGGGTGGTGACGGTTTTGCGGCCCCTCCCTGCTGCCCAGAGTGGGAAGAAGAGCGCAGAGCCTGGCAAGTTTCTCTCTGTGTCCTCTGGGCTGGAAGGAGCAGGTATAGACAGGGCCGAGGCAGCCAGGGCCTGGTGCTGCTTTGGCATTGGTGGCAGGAGGGCTGAACCTCCAGCCCCTTGGGTTTGGTTCCACCCCTGGCCTGTCCCTGGCACTCGACAACTGCTCCTGTGTGCTTATTGGTGCCACCATGTTATATAACGCTTATATAATCTTCCAGGGCGAGCACTGTGTCTCCGCTCTCAGGTCACGCAGACACGGTGTCCGTGTGGGAGGCAGGATCTGTGGAAGCCTGTGGGTGAACCTACTCCCCCGATCCCCAACCTGGCTCCTTCTCCTGATCTCAGCCATAGGAGGGGGGCTGGGAGAGCCAGGTCCCTCTCCACACCAGCTGTGTGGGATGAGAACACGGTTGGCTGGGCAGTTTTCCTCACCTTCCTGCCCCACTAGTCCCACTTGCCCTGTCTGGTAGAGCAGAAGCCATCCTTGTGCTTTGATACCAGCTCTTTGTTTTGGGGGACCCCTGGCATGGCAGGTGGCATGGCGAGATGAACCCCAAAATGTTGCAGTGGAAGAACACATGGTACTTAGGGTTGGATAAAGAGAGGGAGAAATTAGCTCTGCCTTTGAGGAGCAAGGGTAACTAGAAGGATGGTGGTGGCATTATAAGAGATTTGGAGCAGGCCTGGGGCTAGGGGATGGTCAGGGAAGGGTGTACAGGGAAGTAGATCAGACAGCAAAGATAAACATGGTGTTCTTTTACTGTACTCTCCACTGGGCTGTCCCTGGTTACCGGGGCAACAGAAGCAGTGATGAAAATCATGCCTTTCGTTCAGTGGAAAAATTTGGCTCCTCCTCCCGGCTCTTCCTTCTCTAAATCGCCTGTGACCCATTGAGAGGGTTATGCTTCCAAGGATCAGAGAGAGACCCCAGCATGTTTTCATCATGCTCCCCTTTCCCCAGTCTTCTTTATCATCTCCCCTCTTCCTGCATCCCCTGTCTCCCCCCACAGCTCGGCAGTTGGCAGTTGCGTAGGAGTTGGAGTAGATGCAGGGGGAAGGGCATGGACGTCATCACAGGGCAGGGTGAGCAGAGCGTGGGCAGAGATGTGGATGCAGGAATGCCTGGCACATGAGGAGGGTCCAGCATTGATGAGCTAGATGGAGCCAAAAGCCTGTTTCTGGGCTGGTAGGAGCTGAGGTGGGCAGGGTGAGATGATGGTGGGCCTTCAGAGTTCAGCAGTCTGGGTTCGAGGGAGTAGGAACTAGGAAGGGCCTGAGGTTTCTTGTGCAGATATCTTGTGATGAAAACTACCAAACCGTATCCCTTTTTGAAGTTAAGATTTTTGTTTAAGTTTTTTCTTTCATCTTGTGATGAAAACCGTGATTCATTCATTCAGCATTTATTGTGTGCCCCCCATATTAGGTGAGGTTCTGGGAACTGGGAAGCCGAAGGTGAGTAGCACTGGACCTTGACCTTGAAGAGACTGTGGTGAATGAAAGGAGGATGAGTATATGGGGGAAGATCTGGCATTGTTGCAAGCCTGGAATCTGGGGTCCCCAGCAGGAGACTAGCAACATACCAGATCGGAGGTGATAGGTTAGGGTGGAGCCTGTGGAAATGAAGAAGAAGAGATAATTTGGAGTGCTACTCTGGCTTGAGGACAGGACGTGGGGAAGAGAAAGTGCTGAAATTTTGAACCTTAGTGATTTATAGAAATAGAAACATTAGAGTTCAAACTTGTTTTGGGGAGTCATGTTTGATTTTCTTTTAGACATGTTGCCTTCAAGATGATGGCAGGGTATCCAAATAAAAATGTTTATGGTCAGGCAAGTAAAATATGCAATGGAAGTCAGTTCTGGGAAAAGATTTGAAGGATATTGGATTATGAAGCTTGAAGGTGGGTAGAGGTAGATCCTAGGGCCTGGGGCATTACCTGGAATTGAGTGAGGCTGTATGCCTTGTACTGGTTTATTATCCCAGGGCTTGCCCAGACCCTGGACATTTCTGCTAACAAAAACCCACATCTTCTACCAAACCATATCCCTTTTTAAAGTTAGGATTTTTGTTTAAGTTTTCCTCTCCCTAGTAACTATGTCCAGGTATACCTGGAAAAACACACACACACACACACACACACACACACACACACACACACACACACGCATGCACTTATTTCCCCCAAGGTCTTGTGCCATTTGCTTATAGCTCGGGGACGTGCTGTAGAAATGTGCCACAAGTCTTTGGCCTCTTCTAGCAAGCTGTTTATCACCCTGGAGGAGTAAGAGCACTGGACAGAGTCAGGAGACTTTTGCTAGCTACGTGATCTTGGACACACCACTTCCTTTTCCAGGCCTAAGTGTCTAGTCTTAGGGATCTAGCTTCTTCCAGTTCTGAAGCCCTCTGATTTGATGTCTGGAAAGCTTTTTCCACCTTTGCCCAGGTTTCTGATGCAGACCAGGCTTTTTGAACAAGTAGCCTAGATTTCTTAGTACCTTGTGGGAGGGACTAGTAGGGATGGAGGCCTAGTCCCCAGAGTGGGTCCCTGTCTTCAGTGTGGATAGGAGCCCTCCGGGTGGATGGGAGCCTCTGTTCCTCTTTGGAGCATGGAAATACTGGAAGAGCAGGTTTTCCCAATGACCAGGGATTGCAAACTGTGGCCCGTGGGCCGGATTCCTGTTTTTGTAAATAAAGTTTCACTGGAACAGAGACACGCCCGTTGTTTGTGTATTGTCTGAGGCTGGTTTCATGCTACAAGGGCATAGTTGAGTAACTGCAAGGGAGCCTGTATGCCCCATAAGCCTAAAATATTTACTATCTTGCCCTTTAGGATAAAAGATAAAAACTTGTCAACCCCTGCTGTAGACTACCAGAAAAGTGCTTGGCCTTTTACTGAGGATGCTTATGATGGCTATTTCAGATTTCTAGGGTTCTTAAAGATTCTGCATTGGGCCTGTCTTTGTGATCCCATGAGAGGATGATCTGGTAGTTGAAATAGTAGATTATTAGAGTCAGCTCAAAAATAGTCACTCTGTATCTAGGAAAGCTCTTTCATTTTCAGCCTTTTCCCTGGAGCCTGGAGGCCTGAGTTCCTCAGCAGGACTGGGTTTGACAAGCTACTGTCCCTCTCATTCTGATTTCCCTGGGCAGTACAGAGGATATACTGGACTGACCCAAGTGTTGGGTCAAGGATATACTGGACTGACCCAAGCCCAGTGTTGAGTGAGGAGAAAGGAGGCTCATTGGTTCCGCCTGTCCTGTAGGATCTTTCCCCTGATATCTCTATTGTTTCTGATCTTACTGGCACCTTTAGTGCCAAGGTCCTGGAGATGCCGCCACAGAGAGAGCCTGCAACCCAGCCTGGCATGTCTGTCTGAACCTGGCACTCATCCACTCTGTCAGAATAAGGCCCTGGGCTTGGCGTTTGTGGGACATGTGTCTGTGTTGGCTTGGGACTGGAATCAGCATTCATTATTCCTGCAGCCAACCTTCATGGAGTCCTTCTGTGTCCTAGTTTCCACCTTTTTGACCTGGTCCTCAAGCCAGAGTCTTGCTGAAACTCCTAGCTAGGAACAGGGCTAAAGTTCTCGCTGCTGCAGAACAGCAGCAGCCCAGCAGTTGGGGCAGTTCTGCTCAGATAGGAAGTGAGACACGTTGGTAGCAGGAGGAAACCACTTGCTGGAAGTAGCAGGGGGAACGGAGGTGACTGAGGTTGATTCTCGTTACACTTGATAGGGAGGAGGCCAGCAGCAGGAGGAGGGAGCAGACAATCCATAATAGCAAAGAAGACAGAAGTCGAGCACACCTAGAGCTGCTTTTAGCTGGTAATGGTAACTCTGGCTCTAGGAGCATTCCTTCATACCTCCCCGACACAGTTTCCCCAGAGGCTGTTATAAAGAAAACATTCTCTCTTAAATATCTTTTCATTTGTAGGGTTTAGGGTGACCCCATACTATATGGTCTTAAACTTATGTTGAGACAACTGCACTGACTTGGATAAATAAATATCATTTATCAGATATTTATTAAAGATCTATTATATGGCAGGCGCTGTGTGAAGTTCTCAGGATACAGAGGTAAATAAAAGATTCACAGTTTGATCTGGAAGGTTTATGGGCAGCTGAACCAATTTTAATTCCATCTGCACTGGATCACATGCTTCAAGAGAGCATGTCTGTATCTGTCTTGTCCTTTGCTGTCACCCCAGTGCTGAGTGGAGAGCTTGGCACACAATAGGCCTCAGATATTTATTGGCTGACCCATCCTTGTTTGATCTGTCCTGGAAATGTGCAGGAGGAATCTGAGTGGGTAAGTGGAGGAAGAGAGGTGCTTAACGCAGCAAGTGTGACAAATTTGGGGGAAGATGGACATACTTGGATGTATGACGATGAGTGCCTTTAAGTGACTGCCTTTAAGGAAAAGAGAAGGGTTAAAGCTGTATGGGCATGACAGAATCCATTGGCATTAGGGCCATGAGAAGGAAGGAATATAACCTGGCTACAAAGGTGGGTTAGAGGTAGTCAGGATCATTGGGTATAGCAGAGGGCCACCAGAATTGTGAAGAACTAACCAGCGGCAGAGAAGGGAAGAGTGGAAGGAGAGTAGGAGCCATTGTGAGAGGAAACATGGAGACCTCTTCAGGCCTAGGATGAAAGCAGAAATGACACAAGTGAGTCTCAGATGAACATGATGGCAGGGATAAAGAAAAGATGGGACTCTCAGCTCTGTTCTGCTGGTCTCCTCAGAAACCACTGTGTCCATGTATGACTAAAAATGCCTCTCAGTTATTTTCCAACAGTGCGGCAAATGCGAGGAAATTAACTATGGTTTGACATTATGGTTAGTCTTTTTTTTTTTTTTCAAATTTGTCAATGGAAATTTTCACAGGTACACAAAGATAGAGTTAGCGTAATACACCTCAATGTTCCCATCCCCCAGTTTTTCGACTTGTAATCAACACATGGCTTTTCTCATTTCTTTTATACCTTCACCCACCTTTTTCTTACTCCCTTCTTGGATTATTTTACAGCAAGACCTAGATCCTGTATTATTTTATCTATAAATACTTTTTAATATATCTCTAAATGATAATACCTTTTAAAAACTTAACCCTAGTGGTATTATTACACCTTGAAAAAGCACAGTCATCCCTAAATATCTCCTGTCATCCAAATATCCAAATGGTGTTTAACTTTCCTTCGATGTCTCAATTTCTTTCTTTCTTTCTTTTTTTTTTTTTTTTTTGAAAACAGCCAGTTGGTTTGAGTCAGGCTCCAAACAAGATCCTCATGTTTCATTTAGTTGATGACAAATCTTCAAGGCTCTGTTAATAAAGATTATGGTCATTCTTAAAAGAATTTATGTTTTGCAATTCTACCTTTTAGATTTACTTAGCTACCCACGATTCTTCCCAGTCAGCTGCCATCAACAGCTTCCTGAGTTTTGTTAGATGATTTTTATGATTTTGAGCATTTTTTCATGATCCCTCTTGCCTTTATGGTTTAATGTAGCTAGTCATTTTTCCCTTCCTTCAGTAGATGTTTCTTGGGAGCCTGCTCTGTTTCAGGAGCTGTACTGGACACTGGGCCTACACCTGTGAAAAGGACAGACAGGGCCCAACTCCTGGAGCTTACAGTTTGACCACAGGAGAGCTGCTGCTTGGCAGTTTTCCCCGTGCGTTCACCCCAGCTGAGCAGTGTGACCACAACCGTCACTTCTGTGCAGGCAGACCTGCCACGTTTTTATAGCTTGGTGTTCATGCTCTCATGCTGTCATTTTATGTGGTTGACAAAGGTGCGCCTAGAATGTTCAAGAAGCCAGGCATGGCTTCTGTGGCAGGCCTGTGTCTCATAGCCACACGACCCGGCATTCTAACTGTGGTGCTGCTTGGGCCTTGTGTGTATCCATGTAACACTTTTGGGCTTGAGTGTGGATAGCTCTGAAAGTTAAAATGGAGAGCTTCCTGAATTGGTGGATTGTGGAGAGGCTAAATGAACACGTTTAAAGAGGGGGGCTCTGAATTGTTACAGGGCTTGGCAAAAGCCAAGTGTTGCTAATATGTTTGAGCAAATTGGATGTTTCTGTGGCTTTGTGGACTTCAGGTTGGTTTGGGGCTTTTGCCTGTTCCAGTTAGGCTACCTGCCAGCCTTTCAGATGACAGGCCCACTTTCTTGATTTGCTGTTCGTTGTGTATTGGTTAGCCAGTCTGCCTCAGTAGCTAAATATGATGATACAATTCAGGCCTGTCTTGCTGATAAAACTTTTAACTGATTTACATTTCTTTATGTAAGTAAATAATCAGACTCTGACTCCTGTGATGCTCTGATTTTGAGAATGGTCCATGATTCTTCTTATATTTTTGCATTTTCAGTTCAAATGCAACTGTATTGTAGTTACTGGATTATAGTGTCTGAGCCTTTAAAAAAATCTTAGTTAATAAAAGTATATTTTCAGATATAAAACCTAGTATCCTTATGATACATATCTCCTTGTCACTGAAGGCATGTTCAGCCTCTGATGATATGTTTTGTTTTCTTTCAGTTAAGTGGTCTTTAATCGTTTTGATTGTGTGCCCATATCAGTTAAAACTTTTGAGCAATTCCCCTTGTTTGTGTGTGTATTTATAATTTATAAAAAGTAGTGCTGTGCTAAAATACATTATAGTATTATAAAACACAAAACAAAAGACTTCAAATGGCTAGGATATATTGTATTCCCTACCTTCTTCCTAAATGAACTCTTCATGGTTCTGTCCGAGGGCAGCCTTCTACTTTGCCCTAAATTTCAGTTACTCTCACATATTCGACATTGCCCCAGCCTGTCCCCTCCTCCTTGCATCACCACTTTTTCCCCCTGCTCGATCGTTTCCAAAGGCTTTCTCATCTTCAAAAAGTCTTCTTTGGTCACCTCTCCCAGCTACTGCCCCATCATCTGTCCCTCCATATTTTCAGTCCTTGCTGTGTTCACATCCTCTCTTGACTCACACCACTCTGATGAAAGTGCTCCTGGCAAGGTCCATGGTAACTCCCATGATCCTGACTCTAGTGGTCACTTCTTCATCTTCCTCACAGGAGCTCTTCAGTTTGGCACCGCTGATCATACCCTTTTCCTTGACGCTGTTTCTTCACTTGGCTTCCAGGGTGTGTATTTCTGGCTTTCCATCTGCCTAATTGGCCATTCCTTCTCGGCTTCTCATCTCCCTGACCTCTAAACATTAAAGGCCCTGGGCACCTCCTCTCTATCTTCTCTCATTCTGTCTGTGATCCTCTCCTGTTGTATGGCTTTTAATACCATCTATATGAGTGATCTCCAGAGTTTGCTTCAGTGTAATCCTGGGAGATCAATAAGATTGACCATGAGCTGATCATTGTTGAAGCTGGGTGATGGGTACCTGGGGGTTTATTATACGGTTCTCTCTCATTTTACTTATGTTAGAAATTGTCTTTCTTTTTTTTTTTTTTTTTTTTTTTTTGAGGAGTCTCGTTCTGTCGCCCAGGCTGGAGTGCGGTGGCACAATCTTGGTTCACTGCAGGCTCCGCCTCCCGGGTTCACGCCATTCTCCTGCCTCAGCCTCCCGAGTAGCTGGGACTACAGGTGCCTGCCACCACGCCCAGCTAATTTTTTTGTATTTTTAATAGAGACGGAGTTTCACCGTGTTAGCCAGGATGGTCTCGATCTCCTGACCTCGTGATCCACCCACCTTGGCCTCCCAGAGTGCTGGGATTACAGGCGTGAGCCACCGCGCCCAGCCCAGAAATTTTCTATAATGGAAAGTTAAAAAGTCTATATGCTGTTGACCCTTAATCATTTGTCTGCAGCCCAAACTCTCTTCTGAACTGTAGACCTGTGTCTCCATCTGCCTGTTTAGTATTTCAGCTTTGATATTAACAGATATTTCACTAAACGTGTCCAAAATGGAACTCCTGGTTTCCCTCCCCAATATGTTCTTCCTGCAGTCTCCCCATCCCATTTATGGGAATGCTGTTCTTCCAGTTGCTTATCGAAAACACCTCTGGTCATGCTTGATTTCCCTCTTTCTCATCTGTCCTTCATCCAGTTCATCAGTAAGTCTTGTTGACTCTACCTGTAAAATATATCCAAAATTTCATCTATCAGAACTACTTCCGCTGCCACCACCTTGGTCCAAGCCACCATCCTCTCTCATCTGCTTCTTTATTGCCCCTTAGAGGCTGTAGTCCTCCCCGCAGCGAAAACAATCCGTGAAATGTTAAGTCACATCATGCTCTGCTGTGCCCAAACCCTGCAGTGGCTTTTCTTCTCTCTCAGTAAAAGCAATCACCCTTACTGTGGTCCATAAGACCTCATAGCTTATCTCATCACTGCCCAATAGAAATATAATGTAAGCTACACATGAGGGTCACGTAGGTAATTTAAAAGTTTTTGATAAAGGAAAAATGAATGGAAAATGAACCACTCGAAGTTAATTTTGATAATGTATTTTATTTAGCCCAGTATGTTAACAGTATTTTCACTTCTGAGATATGTTACGTTGCTTTTGTTTTGTTTGTTTGTTGTACTAAGTAATAGTCAAAGCACATCTCCATGTGAACTAGTTGCATTTCATGTACTCCATAGCCTTACATGGCTAGTGGCTGCCATCTTGCACAATACAGGTCCATACGACCTTACCCGGCTTTATTACGTTACTTCTGTATCTATCTCCTGTTACTGTTTTCAACTTGCACTTCGCTCCAGCATCACTGGCCTCCTGCTGTTATTTAGGTATACTAGGCATTTCCTGTTTTAGGGCCTTTGTACCTCCAGTTCCCTCTGTTTGGAATGCTTTTCCCCAGATAGCCCTGTGGTTAAATCTCTTACTTCCTTTGGGTCTGTGCTCAGATGTTACTTTCTCAGAGGGTCCCCCAAGCCCCCAGCATTCTCTAGCCTTCCTTGCATCCCTTTCATGTAGTGTTTTTTTCACCAGTTGGCATACTATTTATTTATATTAGTATATTTTCTCTCTCTCCCCACTGGAATATGTGCTCCATGAGAGAAGGGATTTTTGTGAGTTTTGTCCCCTGCTATATCTCAGAGCATGGAATAGTGCCTGACATGTGTATATAAGAGATGGATATTTGTTGAAGAATTAAGTGAAATTATCTATTAAGAATGATTCTTTTTCACTAAGAACATTGCAATTGAGCATAATTTATTATTTCAGAATAGCTTGGTGTCATTTGCAGCTAGAAGTTCTGTTTTGAGTCAGGATATTTCAAAAGAGACCTCACAATGATATGCAGATGCCCATGGCAGAAATTCATCCTGGATTATACTTACGAAATCTTGATAACTTGTTTTTTAGTCACATCCACTGTTTTCTGCAAAGGTTTTTGTTGAAATCCAGCTAATATATTTCAGTCAGTCTTGATATCAATCAGTTGTTCTTACAAACTCATTGCAAAATTTAATACTTTTATATGTTGAATTTAATAAATGGGTTCAAGACCCCTGAAATACTTCATTTTGGGAGATTTTAAAACAAGTTTTGATGTTCTGTTTTGAGTGTGTGCAGATAAGGAGATTTTAGAGATGACATCCTTACATTGAAATTGGCAACATTATCACATAATGGTAGAAATGATTTCCAAGTGCCTGTTTTAAAAGAACAATGGCTTTCTTACCCATTAAAAAAAATTCTACTTTCACCATAAAGATACAGAGTATTTATTTGTTTGTTTAAAAATACCCATTAAGTAGCATTCTACTTACTGGCACTCATTACAGAAGAGGTCAGCACATTTTAGAACTCTTGTTTTCTGGTTTAAAAAAAGTATAATTCCTCTTTTTTTTTTTTTTTTTTTGAGACAGAGTTTTACTCTGTTGCACAGGCTAGAGTGCAGTGGCACAATCATAGCTCACTGCAGCCTCCAACTCCTGGGCTCAAGCAATCCTCAGCCACCCTGGTAGTGAGAACTACAAATGTGCTCCATGATGCCCGGCTGATTTTTAAATTTTTGTGGAGACGGGGGTCTTGCTGTGTTTCTCAGGCTGGTCTTGAACTCCTGGTCTCAAGAGATCCTTCTGTTTTGGGCCTCCCAAAGCACTGGGACTACAGGTGTGAGTCACCGTACCTGGCCTGATTCTTCTCTAAGCTGAGCAACTCTTAGATATTTTTACCACGAGATAATTAGTGACAATGTGGTCAGATGACGTTCGGGTCTCACCGTCTTATTACAAAGGACTGTTGTTTATTGTATTGAAGATGGTGTCTCTAACTTTGCTTCACTGGGCAGATGTAAACTGTACTAAATCAACAGGCAACTGGGGGTGTCACTGTCTACCCTTCTGCATCTGGATCTCCTACTCAGACACAAGGATTCCTCTGGTACCTTAAATACAGCAACCACCCAACACACAAATTGAAGGAGTGTGTCAGTGTCAATTCCCGTATTAAATAATAGTAAAATTTAATTTTTTGTATTTTGGTAAAGTATAAACATTGTAATATTTTCTTCTTCATCCTAGTGGATCTGCTTATACATGCCACATTAGAGATGATTGCTCTGATTGTTTCTTCTATAGTAACCTTGCTTCCCTAACAACCTTTGATTGACATAAAGGTTGAGTCTTGTCTTTTCTGTTGTTTATAGTACCTGACAGTGCTGTGTTTCACTAATATTTGTTGACTGAATAGTGCTGAGGAGTGTCCTGTTCTCTGACCTCAGTACCATAAGGTCATATTTCTTGGACAACAAAGTCCAGTAGCAGATTTCTTTGGTGGCTGCTAGAGCCATTTCATTAACAGTATTGAAAGCTTTTGTGATATTAGAGAAACAGCTCTGTGGTCCTGTTACTGTTGGCTGTGCATCCTTCTGCATCTGACAGGTAGAAAGGGATGGTGGCAGCTCTAGTCACTGCCATGTTGTGATTTAGGAAGTAGATGGTTGTGTTCAGATGCTCTGGAAATGAGCTGGCAGAGATTGCTAGAAGAGATGGCTGTGGTATCTAGAGCAGCCAGCTCTCTTCTTCATGAGAGGGGTATATGTCTTTGATGCATTGTTTGATGTCTTCCATCAGTTTACATGCTGAAAGTATTGGTGCAGATATCTGAGATGTATGCTTCTCCTCCACCTGGATAGTCCAGGAGGTAGGTCAGCCAGACACATCTACTTGGGCGTTGTTTTTCTAACTTCCCTGACTGCATGCACAATTTGAAAGATCAGCAGCTGGAATGAGAACTGCAGGCTGTGGCTGAGGAACAGAGGCCCCATGCTCTCTTTGCTGCAACAGAGACATCTCCCAAGGTCCCCTGGACCCTGTGTTGCTGAGTCAGGCTTGCCCTGGTATGCTAGTCTTGCTGCTTGGACCACTGGTGAGCCCATCAGCATTCATGGATTGATGTGCATTTACTTAGGATGGCCTCTGTGAAAGATTCTGTGTCTGTTTCTCTTTTTGGATGGAGTGGGGTGGGGATGGAGAAGGAATAAGTGAGGTAGACAGATACCTTCACCTAAAATAGTGTGTAAATGTGACACAAATGAAGTGTAAGAAACTGTTGTATTAGCCTTAAATGGGGTTGGGAGCTGGAGGATGTCTCTGGAAACACAAGGAAGATCTCATCCATCTTGTTTATGGCTGTATCCTCAGAGCCTAGCATGATGCTTGGCCCCATCAAGTGCTCAGTAAATAGGTGTTTGTTAATAAGTAAGTGTTCAAGGATGAGAGGACTTCACCTGAAAGTTCATGCCAGACCACCACAAAACTGAAGGAGGAAATGGCTTGTTGGCAGAAGGAGGTTGGGATGTTCAGAGAGAGTGTAAGTGGCAGAGGAAGGGCTGTGTATTGGAGAGGTAGAGGCAGTCTTGGGAGGCCCTCGATTAACTTTCTAAGAATTTGGTTTTGGTGGCTCTTAACTTATTTTCCTGCCAGTTCATATTAGAAGTTGCATGGAAGCTATAGTCTCTCCAGGAGAAAAAAATAATAAAAGCCCCAATTTGGCATACACCGTCAGAGGATTCACAGATCCCAAGTTATAAAAACCTGTTATAGGGGCCAGGTGCGGCGGCTCACACCTGTAATCCCAGCACTTTGGGAGGCCAAAATGGGTGGATCACCTGAGGTCAGGAGTTCAAGACCAGCCTGGCCAACATGGTGAAACTCTGTCTCTACTAAAAATACAAAATTAGCTGGATGCGGTGGCGTGTGCCTGTAATCCCAGCTACTCGGGAGGCTGAGGCAGGAGAATTGCTTAAACCCAGGAGGCGGAGGTTGCAGTGAGCGGAGATTGCACCATTGCACTCTAGCCTGGGCAAAAAAGAGCGAAACTACATCTCAAAAACAAAACAACAACAACAACAACAACAAAAACAAAAAAAATCCTGCTATAGGCTGGTGAGCCGTCAAATGCTCACTGCGCTCTTATGGTGGTGATAAGATGCTTTTTCTCCTGGAGTCTTTGGGACTTGCCCAAATGCACTGAGTGGACATTCTGGGTTTGGAGGGCGCTGATAAGCAGCAAGCATGACAGTGGTTCCGAGGAGCTTGGGAAAGCAGTGGGGAATGGGAGTCTGCACACTGACACAAATGGAGAGATCCAGCGTTTGCTCCACTTAGCAGGGGACAAAAATACCTGTTCTATTACTTGGAAAAAATAAAAAAAAAATAACCTTTACAACTTACTGATTCAAAATATTGAATGCTTATGCTAAGTTTTTTTCTGTAACATGATTTCCAACTTAGATACCCACCCAGGCCATAATGATGGATTCAGAGAGGCAGCATGTTACATTTGTGGGAATGGTGAGTGTGGAAAGGAGTCATTAGAGTTTTATATTACCATGGCATAGGGTTTGTAGAATTCCTTAGCTGTCCTCATCCATCAGGGAGGGCTGTCTGGAGGAGGAGGTATTTCGCAGGCCTCTTGGAAAAGCAGGAAGACTGGGCTGAGGGAGGTTTAAGGTTGGATTGTTTTTTTTTCCTGACATTAAAAAGATTCCCATAAAATGTGTATCTGTACCATCAGTTAAAAAAACAAAAACAGGCCGGGCATGGTGGCTCATGCCTGTAATCCCAGCACTTTGGGAGGCTGAGGCGGACGGATCACGAAGTCAAGAGATCAAGACCGTCTTGGCCAACATAGTGAAGCCCCGTCTCTACTAAAAAACATAAAAATAAAAAAATTAGCAGAGCGTGCCTGTAGTCCCAGCTACTTGGGAGGCTGAGGCAGGAGAATCACTTGAACCTGGGAGGCGGAGGTTGCAGTGAGCCAAGATCGCGCCACTGCACTCCAGCCTAGGTGACAGAGCGAGACTCCATCTCAAAAAAAAAAAAAAAAAAAAAAAAAGATGAAAAACTTCCCATCCTCCAGGCTTTTGTAGCACATCTGATATATAGATAGGCTGTTTGGAGGGGAAAAAAGCCAATGTGGGCAGCACAGTGCTGGCATTTCTGCCTTTGTGTGTTATAGGTAAATTCCTTTAGTGGAGGGTGAGGTTGAGGGGTGGTGAGGCAATGCTTGATCCCAGTGAATGATGGTGACAATCAGCCCTGCACTGGCTTGTGCTTAGGTGCTAGGCCAGTACCAGGAGGCATCACTGCGGGTGTGGGGGGAGCTCCTGCACCTTGAGAGAGGTGGGGCAGACTGGGGCTCTCTGAGGCAGCCACGGCTTATGCATATTGCAGAGAAAGGACTGGGCAACTGAGGTTCCAATTTTCTCACCTCACTCATTGGCTTAGCAGGAATTTTCTTTGTAGGGAGGTTAGTCTGTGAGGGAATTTTAAAAGTTCTTTCAAGGAGAAGAGCCTCTTCCATTTCCTGCAGAGTAATGTTCAAACTGCAGGTCCAGAGGCCATAATGGGTGAGATCAATTTAGCGGGTTGAGACCAGCCTTTAAAATATATATAGAATAGAAAATATTAGATTGCGTAGTACGTAGTAAAGATGAGTATTATTTCATGAAACTTTGTTTCAGTTATATATATAGAGAGAGTGATACATATAGATAAGTGCACATATATGCCTGTGTTGGGCTACTGCATAACATTGATTTCCTACTATGAATCAGGGTCCAGAAAATTTGAGAAACATTGTCCTGGAAGGATTTCTCTGCTCTTAGTGTAGACAGTGGGTTCCAGCCACTTCCCCAGAGGCCATCTCTATGGAGACAGATGTGGTGAGAGGGCTCTTTTTAAAGAGCAGCCAGAGTCAGCTTCTGACAGCATGATCCTAGGCTTGTCTGCAGCTGTTCACCCATGCCTGGTGTTTCCTGCTGCGGAGGAGCTAGGGAGAAAGATCAGGAAAACCTCAGCCAGGTTTAGGAGCAAAGGTCACCTTCCCTGTCTTCTCACCAGGGTATGATTCCCTAGAATGCAGCAGCATATCCAGCCCCTTCCCTCTTCTCTTGGTTCCTGGCTTTATTAACTGTCTCTTCGCTTTAAAAAAATTTTATCTTTTAGCAGCAAATTTCCTTCTTCCCCACATACCAAAGCCATAGCAGGAAGAGGAAGGCCATCCCGACTGTGGTTTTGTCCTTATATTCTCTGTTTCTCAGGTTCGTTGCCTAGGGAGGGTGGAGTCCCGGCGATCTGGGGGCAGGGTGGGGGTAGGATTCGTGGTGCATCAGAATGAACTTCCTGTCACCTCAGTGATTCCACTTAGATCTGTGATTCTCTGGCTCCATCTTTCCCCCCGAAGAAGAAGAGCCTTTCTTGGGTCATAGTTGCCTCTCCTTCCACCAGCTGCACTGACCGACCTGCAGAGTGTTGACCCACTTGTCGTACCTCAAATAGAGGTTTAAATTAGGACCTTTAATCTGTAAGAGGCTTACAGCTTGTTGGGTGGCCAGCTGCTCTGGACTCCCTTGTGGGCAGAGCTGGGTTTTTCCTGGCTCTTTTGGGGTTTAGGGAATCATGGGGGTCAGTGGCTTTCTGGCAGGAGCCACAGGCTCTGGGACTAGGTGGGTGGGATCTCTTATGATGGAGTTGGGTGGTGGTGTGTCCTTGTAATGATGGAATGGGGAGCTGGGCCAGCAACTTGGGTGCTGGGCCTGCTTCTCTTGGACACTGAGCCTGGATTCTTGCTGATGTGCAGTTAGCTTTGCTGGCTCAACATGTGTTTTCATTTCACAGATATTCATTAATCCAGAGTTGTGTGCCCAGCATGGTGCTAGGTGTCATAGGGAACACACAGAAGCATGAGAATCAGGCCCTCCTCCCAAGTTGCTTATTTGTAGCCTCCTTTTGAGGCTACAAGGCTAGTCCATATCAAAGCATTCATTCATCCTGTAGACCGATAGGTATGGAGGGGAAGTATTATTGGAGAGACCTCAGGGTTTTCTCACCTGAGAAGGGAGAGAGCCCTGGGGTGGTCAGAGCTGGGCCCTGAGTGGTGGGATTTAGAAAGAAGGGAAGAGGGGAGGGCTTGGAAGATAGGAGAAACAGCATGAACAGCAGCAGGGGGAATGGGTGAGTGTCCTCCTGAAAGGACTGTGGAGATGGCCGTGGAGCCTCTTCTTGCCCACTTCCTGAGATGGTCATGGCTTAGTGCTAGAGACTTTTATTCCTTGGGCAATGTAGACCCAGCTCTATGGGTTCCCTGTTTTTTCCTTCTCTTCCTCCTCATTATAACAGATAATAATAATGATTCCTAGCTTTCAGGGAACACATCTTGTATACCATGTTCTGTGTGCTTTACATGGATTGTCTCATTACAGCTTCACAACAACCTTAGAGATAGATGTTCTGTATCATTATGTGCACCTTACAGTTGGTGCAGCTGAGGCGTAGAGAGGTTAAATAACTTGCCCTTGGTGGGTGACATAGCAAGGCAGTAGTTGGGTGAGGAGTCTACCAGGGCAGCCTGAAAGGCGGAACTCAGTGACAGCAGCAGGGCATGCTGTTAACCCACTGCTTCCCACTCGTCTGAATATTAGAATCACCTTGGAATCTTTCAGAATTTCCAAATCCCAGGTCGATTACATCAGAGTCTCTTGGGGTGCTGGGACACAGGCATCAGTTTTTGAGGCTTCCCAGGTGATTCCAATGTGCACCCAGGTTTAAGGACCACTCCCTTAACCTTCTCTGTTTTACAGCCTCTGAATATTTGACTGAATACATTTTTTATCTCCAAGATTCTCCAAAGCACTGCAGAGGGGCCTTCCTCCAGTCCTACCCTGAGGATGTCTGTCTGTCCACCCACCATGCCATATAGTATCTGAGGGAGTAGGACCCCTGCCACCCCACAGCATCTGTGACCCCCAAAGAGTGAAACCTAGGTGGTGTGGGGTGATCTTCCTGGGATCAGTGGCCCTTCTCACTCTGCATGCCACCTAGAGGGCAGAGCCTGCTTCAGAGCCCTGGAGACCTCCAACTGGTTTCTCACATCTTCTGCTCCCTGGGGCCCCTGACTTCAGCGGGGAAGGGAGAGGGTCACATGAGGGCAGATCTCTTCTGGACAAGTCCCATTCCTCTCTGTCTGTCCCTGACTGAACCTGAAATGGACACGAAGAGCAGAGTCGTTTGGGTGGCTGGGAACAGCACTAAATTTAGCAAAACTGTAGCTGGTGGGGGGCCGGCCCAGAGTGAGCCAAACCCAGCCCTGAGTGGACTAGATTTACAGTCAGTAACACAGTCAGCATCATCTCTGCTTGGGAAAGTGTGTGGTTACACAGGATCTTCCGTTTTCCAAAGCCCAGAAGCTTGTCAGCCTGTCCCACAGGCCTCCCTGACTCTGTCCCTTGAAGACTTGGCTCCACCCCCACCACTGATGCTGTCCCTTGGACTTAGTCTTCCATCCATCTGTCTGTCTCTCCCTTGTGTGTCTGGAATTTCCACTTCAGTACCTTCACCTTCTTTTATGCCTCTTAGCCAATGCTGCCAACCTTGACTCCCAAGGCCCTGGAGGGCAAGACCCTAGCATTGGTAGATTTTCTTTAGGGCATCTGGCACCAAGGACACCTTTCAGTCAAGGTGGACAAGTGGAGGAAAGCCAGGAGCTGGGATGGTTAGTCGAACAAGTGTTGAGGGACTGAGATGTACTTTCCCTCCTCCCAGAAACTTAGCCACGTAGATGGTATTTGTATACCCAACAACTGAAGTGAATTATGATGGGGACACAGTGGCTGTGAGACTCTTGGACAGTTGGGAGTTTCTCTTTGGTTGGCTGAGTCTCTGCCCTGGTGTCGATGTATCTTGGAAGAGGTGGGTTTTGTGGGATTAAAGAGTGGAGGTCTGTGGGTGACAGGACATCTTCCCCTGCTGGCTCCCTCTCCCACTCCTCAGATCTGATGGTGGTGACTTGTCTGGAGGAGCTTCTGTTTTCTTAATGCCCTGGGAGATAATGACCAGGCTAAATTTACTCAACTCTTTACAAAGTGGATGATTACACTGAGAGGCCAGGACTGGGATCATGCCTATGGGAGTGAAGGCTTCAGGGCTCTGGCAGCCACTGGAAATTTAAGCCTTGGATTTTGCTGATTGGGAACTGTGTCATCTCCTTGGTCTTCTTGGTTTTCACTCCCTTCACCCAGGACTAGGATCAAACATGATTTGTTAGTGTAGGGCAGTGGGTCTCAACCAGGGGCAATTCTGTACTCCCTAGCTCTGGCTCCCAGGGGACAGTTGGCAATGTCCAGAGACATTTTTTGGTTGTCATAACTGGGCTGCAGGAAGGGTGTTACTGGCATCTGGTGTGTAGAAAACAGGTATCCTGCTGAATATTATACAATGCACAGAACAACTGTCCCTACAACAGAGTTGTTGGTCCAAAATATCAATCGTGCTGGGGTTGAGAAACCTTGGTATAGGGGGACAGTTTTGCAGAAATGGCCATGAAATGGCCAATGTAGAAATGAAATGGTCGTTTCATCCAGCTCTCTGCATCTGTTGGAAATAACTTGAAACCAGGAACTATTGAGTCATTGCCTTCTTCGTTCGTCCACTGCTCCCCTCTCTCCTCAGTATTTATGGGGAACCTTGGTAGTGAAATACTTCGGCATCTAACAATATTGCCTTCAGGAAGTTGTTTCCAAGCCATCGCTAAAGCTCCTGTGGTCCAGTTTCCCATAGAATCCCCCTGTAAGCACACACGTATCCCAGGTCATGCGGGTGGCTTTGTGCAGCTGTGTCTCTGGTGCACCTAAATAAGCCTATGATTTAGGTGTTGGTACCTTTAAGATGAACTTTAAGGGCAACCAGGAAGCCATTCCAAGGAGGCTTCATGTGGGAATGATCAGAGTCTAGCCTGGAGCTGTTTTCCTTCTCTTTCTCTCTGTAGCTAAAGTTTGTTCTGCCTTGCAGAACTGAGTTCTGCTTGCTAAAGTTCTCTTAAACTCAGGAAACACATACTCATTGCCGTGGAGAACATGATGTTATTTCCCAGGTGAAAGACTCAACCTGTGGCCAGATGCCTGAACAGCCTGGTGCATCTCTCATCTGCCAGCACCGTTCTTCTGCAGTTGGCAGGGCTGCTTTAAGGCCAGAACAGGGAAATGAGAAGTCTCCCAAAGTGAGGACCTTTGCTTGCTCTAGATAGTGAAGGGAGGGTCACTGTGTGTGAATTCTAGAATGTGCTGACTTTTAAAAATTCACGACAAGTTTCAAGGTTCTCTCCATGTGACCCCACTACCTGGACTCTCTAATCGTCATGTCAGAGGGTGAAGGTGTGAGTGACACTTTATGATTTGGGGAAAGAAGAGGTGGTGGGAGTGGTGAGAGAGGAGATTGGCAGGGAGAGGGATAGATATTCTCATTGGGTGCATTTGACATCCTTGCCTCCAGTTTGCGTCTCAGTGTTGTTCCCCTGGCCACAAAACTTATTCAAAGTCCCTGTTTTTGAGGAGGCAAATACATACATATATATATATATATATATATATTTTTTTTTTTTTTTTGATAAGCCCAAACCAGACAGTTTAGGAAGGTCATTCTACTTAGGAGGAGAGTAAATAACATTTTACAAATGACTTTGGAGTTGCCTGGGTTTTTTTCTTTTTAAAAGTCTCCCTTTGCTAGTGGAAGTCACTGGGGAATGGATGATATGGCAAGTGCTTGCTGTTCTTGGAGTTCGGGTTCACTACTCCCCTTCTCATGCAAGGGACTGAGATGGTACTGGTGGGCTCAGGAGCCAGGTTCTAGATTACTGCTGTCTTAGCTGGCAACTAGGGCAGTCGAAACCAAAAGCCTCAGAAGTCCTGTTCAATGAGGGTAAATATTTGAATGGATTGAACAGATGAGTGTGTGTATATTTAGAAACTCACACCCAGTAGAGAAAGAACCTCTGGGTAAGCCCGGCTTGCTCATCCCTGCTGCAGGTCAGAGCACACCCAAGGTTACATCCTCTTATTCCATGATCGGCTGAAGTCACTTCCTTATGTACCCAAGGCTGCCCACGCCCAGCCACTGTTTCCTGAGCCGGGTCAGGAAGTGCAGATCACTCCTCTCATAACCTCCTGGTAGCTTATAGTCATCATCCAGCAGCATTCTGGATTCTTTTGCCTGTGTCTGAGTCTCCACACTTCAGCTGCCATCTTGCCCCCAGATCCTGAGCTTGTCTTTGAGTCCGTAGCTTCAGCTTGGACTTCCTGGCTTCCAGGCCCAGAGTTACTTCAGGGCTCTGGCAGCCACTGGAAATTTAAGCCTTGAATTTTGCTGATTGGGAATTGTCTCGTCTCCTCCATCTTCTTGGTTTTCACTCCCTTCACCCCTGGCCCAACCACTTCTGTCTCATTAAAAATCTTGTTTCTTATAAAAGTTACTTTATATTTCAGCATGCATTTATAAAACCCGAAGACATTTTCAGACGGGGTCTCACAGAACATAAAGCTTGACAAATGAATTTGGAGTTTTGAAAACATGTTTATTTTTTATGGTATTGAAGCTTTGTAGAGTAACATTTCTGCCATTTATTAAAATGCAATAGGAAAATGCTCAGAAATATGTGTGTCCTTCAGATTTTGTGAGCAGAGAGTGTAGACACTAAAATTCATTGGTGTTGGGGAAACAACCCATTGGATAAAAGTCCATTTTCTCCTAGATTTTTTCTTGTTAGCGTTTTTTTTTTATTAGTCGTATTAATTTTTTTTTTTAAGAGACAGGGTCTTGCCCTGCTGCCCAGCCTGGAGTGCTATGATGCCGTTATGGAGTGCCACTGCAGCCTCCGACTCCTGGGCTCAAGTGATCCTCTTTCTTCAGCCTCCTGAGTAGCTGGGACTACAGGCACACGCCATTGCACCTGGGTAGTTTTTTTTTTTTTTTTTAAATAGAGACGGGATCTCTCTATATTGCCCAGGCTGGTCTTGAACTCCTGGCCTCAAGCAATCCTCCCACCCCGACCTCCCAGAGCACTGGGATTACAGGTGAGAGCCACTGCACCTGGCCCTTTTTTAAAAAATTAATATTGTTATTGACGTATAACATGCATGCACAAAAGTGAATGAATCATAAGTGTTCGGCACAAAGCGTACATATCCTGTCACCAGTGCCCAGATCAGGAAAAGAAACAGAACACTACCAAACCAAACCCCGCAGAAAATACTTTGCATTTTTTTCTAGTTACAAACCACCCTTCCAAGGGTAACCACTATTTTGAATGCTACAATCACAGATTGGTTTCACCTGCTCTTCAACTTCATATAAATGAAATCACACAGTATGTTCTCTTTTGGAGTCTGGTTTCTTTCACTCATCATTTTGCTTGTGGCATTCATCCATGTTCTGTGCCATTGTAGTTTTCCATTCTCATGACTGTGTAGTATTCCATATTAATAGACCACAGTTTATTATTTGTATACCATTGATGGATATTTGGGCTGTGTGCAGATTTTGGCTATTACAAACAGTGCTACTGTAAATATGAATGTCTTGGTGAATGGATATATACACATATACATACCTGAATGTATGTATACATACATATACATACCTGAATGTATGTATACATACATATACATACCTGAATGTATGTATACATACATATACATACCTGAATGTATGTATACATACATATACATACCTGAATGTATGTATACATACATATACATACTTGTGTATATACATATATATTTCTGCTGGGTATAAACTTAGAAGTGGAGTTGCTGGATCATAGTTTTAATAGTAGTGCCAAAGCAGTCGTACCAGTTATACTCACACTAGCAAAGTAGGCAAGTTCTGGTTGCTCCAAATTTTTGCTAATATTTGATATTATCTTCCTTTTTCATTGTACTTATTCTGGTGGGTATGTAGTAATATTGTACTGTAGTCTGAATGTGCGTTTTGAGGATAGTGGCCATTTGTGTATCCTCTTTGCAAAATGCCTCTTCAGATCATTTGCTTATTTTTCTATTGGGTTGCCTGTCTTAATGGTTTGTAGGAAGCACTTTATATATTGTTGGATATACGTATTATGAAGATTTTCACTCCTCGGTAGCTTTGGGTATCCATTTCCTTAGTGATATTCCTAAGTTTAACCCATGTGAAAATATTAGAATTGTATATAGTGCTTTGCACAGGAATATATTATTCTTTGTTAGCTATGTTGAAGTTGGGGCTACATGCTATCACTACTCATCTACAAAGGTACTCTTGGGATACTGGTTATGCAGGCTGGAGCAGGGACTCTTGAAGTTTCTGGCATATTAAGTGCTGGCATCTTTGGGGTTATATAAAAATAAAAACTGCTAATATCCAAGTGTTTACTGTGTGCCATATAGTGTTCTAAGCACTTCACATGGCCTAGCTCATTTATTCCTCATATAAGCTTATCAGTTAAGTGCTATTATTATTCCCATTTTCGAGTGAGGAAACTGAGACTCAGAGAAATCTTATAATTGCCCAGGGTCACACAACTGAGATTCCAGTTGCAGAGGCCATACTCTTAACCATTGTACCACATAGAAAGTTGCATTTCCCTAAACTGCTGTTTTATTATAGTGCTGGATTAGTGGCTGGCACATAGTAATTGCACATGGTAAATACCTGTTACATGAAAGAATTTGACAGTGGTAAGTTAACATAGGTCTTCATTAAGTGGGAAAATTTGCCCTGGCAATGGGATATGTTGACATTGGAAGCAGTTGTGTTTCATCCTCATGTATCTCTTACCTGGAGCAGTGCCTGTCTTGGAATAAGTGTCATAGTGAACATTTTGGAGTGAATGAATCAATCACAGGCAGATTGCGGACCCTGTCGTAGCAGATGGATGAGCTCAGAGGACACTACAGGAACCAGGGCCAAGGCAGGGCCATGGTCGGGGCCATGGTCATGGCCCAGGGAGAATTCACAGTTTGGCTAGCAGCATCCTGGTTGTACAGCCACAAGGCAGCCCAGTTTGTAGTAGCAGAATAGGGTCCAGTGTCAGCAGGCGAGGCTGTCCCAGTTACAGGCAGTCAGGTCAGAAGAGGTCCCAGCAGGAGTGCAGGGCTGGCAGGATTCAAGGTCAGGTAATCCAAAGTCACAAGGTTACAAGCAGTAAAAGTTCAGGCTGGCTGGCGAGAGAGCCAAGGAGCTCCTGGAGGGAGCTGTCGCCCGGGCTGGGCTCCCCTCCTGAATGAGGCCTTTCTTCTCAGGCTGCTCAGAGTGCCTGAGAGGAATACACCAGACCTCAGGGCAGGCTGGGGAGGGTGAACCGGAGACTTATCCTGGTACGGAGCCAGAAGGAGCCTTCATGAATGTCTTGTCAAACTCTTCATTTGGTGAGTGAGGAAATCAAAGTTTAAATGAGAGGTTATTGAGCAAGTGGTAGAGCCAACGCTGGAATCAGGCCCTGTAGAGTTTTTCCCACTTCCTCGTCTTTTCTATCAAAAATGAAGAGGTGATGGGAATTGTGGTTCTCGGAAGGAGGAAGCACTGAGGTGCAAGCCTTAGAGAGGAATGATGGAGAGCACTTGGATATGGGGCAAAAGGAGGAATTCCAGGAGGACTGCACAGGCCTGGAGACTGGCGGTACAGGTGATGGGAATTTGAAGGAAACTGCTTGGATGATGACTGAGATACTGACTCTAGAATATAAATTCCATGATGACAAAATCTTTTTCATTTTAATTGAAGCATAACATACAGAAAAGTGCATAGAAGGCAAGGACTTAACATTTTTTTATTGTGCTAAAAAAACACATAGCATAAAATTCATCATCTTACCCATTTGTAATTGTACAATTCAGTTGTATTAAGTTCCTTCGTGGTGTTGTGCAACCCTCACCACCATCTGTCTCCAGGACTCTATTCATCTTACGTAACTGAACTCTGTGCCCATTCAACTGCCTTTTCTTCTCCCCACAGCCCCTGGCAACCACCATTCTATTTTCTGTCTTTATGAATTTGGCTACTCTTAAAACTGCATGTAAGTGGAATTATATAGTATTTGTCTTTTTGGGACTGGTTTATTCCACTTAGCATAATGTCCTCAAGGTTCATCTGTGTTGTAGCATGTGTCAGAATTTCCTCCCTCTCAAGGATGAATAGTATTCCACTGTATTTTGTTCATCGCTTCATCCATTGATGAACCCTTGGGGTGAGGACTTTTACATGGCTTGCTCACCAGTGACTAGAACAGATCCTGGCTTTAAAAGTAACTCAACAGGTAATAGTTGAATGAATTTTAGTTATGTTGAACGGGAGGTGATAGTGGGACACCCAAGTGGGCTGTCCAACAGGTATTCCTGGATGTCTCAGGACTAAAGGTTGGAATCGCCTTCATGGGTAGGGGGTAAAGACAGTGGTGTGAAGGTGCTCCCAGGGACGGGGTTGAACAATAGGAGCAGGGGCCTGGGGCTAGCACAGGTGGGACCAGAGTCATGACAGATGCAGGAAAGGTGGTCTCAGGACAGTGGTACAGGCCAGAACACGAGATCAGGGGAAATGTACCCAGTACAGCCAGAGCCATTAAGTGCTAGGCAGTAGGCAAGGCACTAGGACTAGCAACACGTGTGAGGCAGACGTAAAGATTCATCAGCACAAATCATTCTAAGGCCTCGTGGAAGTGGAAGTCTTGAACTTGAGTGTGGACTTGAAATACAGTTGGACTCTGCACTATGAAGAGGAGAGAGAAGGACACCACAAGTGAGAAAGCGTTGAGAAAAGGAGCTTGGTGGAAAGAATGGGAGGGTACAGGGCACAAAAGGAGACCAGAATGATGAGGCAGTGGACTTGCGGGGGACGTGGGAGGCAGGGTCGGCACTTCTTTTATTTCTTTCCCTTTAAAGTTGATCAAGAGTTGGCAGTTGGGAAGCTTAAGTAATCTACATCTAAACACTACATCTAATGTAACTCCTACTTAAAATTACTGGACACCAAAAAATCCCCAGGCAAGCTTATTGCCCTGTATGTATGGTAGAATATTGTAACATGGACAGTGGTAGTTGTAAAGACCTGGTTGCATGTGACAGATGCACTTGCTCAAATATGAGTGTGGCGATTTCTCAGTCACATGCTGAAAAATCAAGAGCCTCTAGTCAATTTAACCAGTATTCACTGGGCTGCAGCTGAGAGCCCTGCTTAACACTAGATGCTGGGATAGAAAGACAAAAAGGTGAGATTAAGAAGTAAGAGTTAAGCCTGGGCTGTACCTAGACTTACCTGAGTTTTAGAGACCTTCCTTTCCACAGATATTGGGCTGAAAACTGAGAAAGTGGATGCCTCGTCTGCTCCCATCTTACTCTCTGCAGCTTCCTACACAACTGCTGGGCTCCCAATGCTCTGCTCTGGGGCCAGGCAAAAGTCTGTACTCTCATGCATACGCACTTCTGAAAAAGCGGCTTGGTAACTTCTTAGGTACACCCACAAGGTTGGCCCCAGATCTCAAGGAAATCCTCAGAAATGGTTTTGAAAGATAATATCCAGCTAACTCCCCCAAATTCAGGATCCCTAGAAGCTATTTATCTTCTAGGGATTGCCTAGAGTATTCCTACAGGATGTAAATGAAGGATGCAAGCACGTGGAGCATGAGTATTCTATACAGGGAACCAGTCGGATGCCACCCACCAGTGCCAGAACGAAGGCAGAGAGCATGGGGTTGGAGAGGCCAGAGACCCTACGTGCTTCTGAATAATGGGGTGTCCCTGCCAGAGCTAGGAAGCGTGAGGTGTCACCCTACCAGCCTACAGCTCTGAGTGCTAAAAGGGAATCCGGGACCCTGAAGGAAGCTTTGAGTCTCTGGGCTTGTGCCTGTCAGATCTCTGACACCACTATTTACCTATGTTCCACAATAGGTTACCTTAGCATTCAGCTTAGTCTGGTCTTAGCATCTAAGAGACAAGGTTTCAGGGAGCCTTATGTATAAGCAATAATGTAGTGATGATGCTAACTTTATTAAGTGTTTAGTGTGTCCTAGGTGCTGTTCTGTTTTCTATGTATTCACTCATTTAAACCTCACAGTAACTCTGAGATAACTGTTATATTTGACAGATGAGGAAACTGAGTCACAGAGAGCTATAATATCTTTCCTGAGATCACTCAGCTAGTAATAAGCAGAGACAGAAATTGCACCGGTCCTGCTCCAGAGTCTGCATTCTTAGGGAAACAGCTCCAGTGGGATGTGTAGGAGCCACCAGAGGCCAGAGCAGAGAGGTCAGCTGCTGACCAATCACACTCCTAGATCCAGTTTCTCCCTGTCAGAGCCAGCTGCCCCTGCTGCTTCAGAGAGGGGGCTGTGGCCCTGTTGTTTTACCTAGGTTTGCCAGGAGGATTATTAGCCTCTTCCTCGTGTCAAAACAAGCCAAGCAGGAAAAAAAACCAACAAGCAACTCATGACTTGCAGCAGAAAAAACCCTGCGGTCTCTCCAGCAGGAGGGGAGACCTCAGCTGCAGGGGCCCGAAGGTCCCAGGTTACAACCTGGTCTTAGGCATATATTGCTGAGAAGGGCCTTGAGGTCCCCTCGTTTCAGTCAGGATGCTGAGGCCTGGCTCACCATAATGCCCAGTCTCCACAGCAGCCTGCCTTCTCTGCTCTCCTGCTACACCCCGGGAAATTTAATAGTGTCTCCCAGTCTGCTCATGGGAAGCCCGGAGGCCTACAGTCTTTCCCCTAGTTCTGCTGTGAGCTAGCTCTGGGACCCTGGGCTACTCCAGTTTCCCATATGTAGGAGAACAAGCTTGAATTTGAGCAGTAGTTTCCAAATAAATAAATAAATAAATAAATATATATATATATATATATATATTTTTTTTTTTTTATTGCAGTGGAACACTTTCTTCAAGCAAGGTATTAAGGATAGGTACAGAATGTGGAACAGTTAAAAGCAGAAGTGTATATTTTCCAAAAAATGGAAAAAGGGGAAACAACCTTAGGGCAGTCAGACTTCTCTATGAATTCCTCCCAGAGCCTGCAGGGTTCTGCTGCATATGCACTCCTGCCCCTTGGGTTGCCTTTGCTCCTTCATTCTCATGGAAGGCTTTACATTCTTCAGAGCCTCCCTCAGCTTCCATCTCCTTCGTGGAGCATCTGCCTGCAGTGACTTCTGCCCCTTTCTGTTCCTGTTATACATATTTATTAGCTATTTCAATCATTGGGCTCCCCTATACTGCCTAGTGATGGGCTTAAAAAATTTATAACACATATAATATTTACATATATTGTGTATAAATTAGCATATACTTATATATTTACATATATGTGTATGTATGTATATGTATGTATACGCCACACATGCATACACACACATCCTTTAAAGAGAGACCATGTCTGTATGTCCCCCATTTCCTGGTACATAATAAATCCCTAATAAAGATTTTTTTAAAAAAATTTTTATTTGCTCACATGCTCTTGCTCAGACAATACAAGTTTTTAATCATGGGGATTATCTTCCTTGTCCTCCCACATATTTTGCCAGGTCAGTACTCAGTAAATAGTAGTGTTAGGTGATTGTACAATATGGTTTATTTTGTTCCCAGGAAGTCCTGGATTTGAATTTTAGTTCTGCCATATACTAGCTTTATGTCTATAGGAAATATACTTAATTCTTCTTATTTATAAGGTAGAAATGATAATGCATCTATTCCACAGGTATTTATTGGGTGCCTGCTATATTCCAGGCACCATTCTAGGTACTGGGAATTCTGTAGTTTATAAAACAGGCAGAAGTTCTTGTCCTCATGGAGCTTATATTCCAGCCAGTTTTCAGGAAGAGCAGCACAGTGTTGCTGGAACAAGAGGAGGAGGAATGAATCCCTTCTGCTTGGTCAGTGGTGGAACTGCAGCCTGGCTGGAGGCTGCCCCTGGTGGCCTCTGTGGGGCCCAGGGACTCCCTGGGTAGTATAGAATTTCTACTGTGAGATGAAGAGAAAAGGCCCTTGGGTCGGACTGAAGGGACAGTGAGCTCCTCTGAGCCATATTGCTGTGCCTGACCCTGAAGCTGTACAATATCCCGATGCCCACAGTGGGAAGGGGGAACAGCACTAGGTGGAGATGCCCCTGTCTAGAGACTGGGTCACAGTGCCCCGTGCCCTCTTGCGATGTGAATGTGCCAGCATCCTGCTCCTGTTCCCCCGTGGTATAGTGAAGACTTGCCTGGCACGGACATAGAGGCATCCTGGGCTGTCAGGGATGCATGGAATCTTCTAGCCATGCCGACACAGCCATGCAGGGACAGAAAGAAGAAACCATTCCAAACACCTCAGAGGTCCCTTCCTCAGCTTGCGCTAGAGGCAGGACGGTGGAGCTGCTGAGCCCTTAATAATATAGAATTAAGTCCTCCGACTACGTGGCCTGGGGGAAAGATAGATGTTGAGTGGATCTGCTGTGAATTTGAGTTTCCATCCCCTCACACTGTGACACTTGGCTGTTGCTCATGTACGTCTCCCCTTCTGCTTGTCTCTTTCTTAGAAGGAGAGAGGGCAGCCTTGGGTGATGTTTTGTTGTTGTTGTTGTTGTTGTTGTTTGAGACAGAGTCTCGCTCTGTCACCCAGGCTGGAGTACAGTGGCATGATGTAGGCTCGCTGCAACCTCTGCCTCCCGGGTTCAAGCGATTCTCCTGCCTCAGCCTCCCAAGTAGCTGGGATTACAGGCGCCCGCCACCATGCCCAGCTAATTTTTGTATTTTTAGTAGAGACAGGGTTTCACCATGTTGGTCAGGCTGGTCTTGAACTCCTGACCTCAGGTCATCCGCCCACCTTGGCCTCCCAGAGTTCTGGGATTTACCTCCTGCTTTAAGTACATCTTCCATCTAGGAAGCGTTAGCTTCCAGGATGGCCTCTTGGGGAAATAGAGAGAAGGTGCCTTGGCCATGGCCATCCTGGATTTGGCTTCATCCATGGCTGTGGCCACCTCTGACTGCCCTGCTGGACCGCAGCACCCACTCCCAGAGATGCTCACTCTCCGTCGAAGCCTATCACTTACTTAGGGTGATTCTGAGTAAGTTTTACTTGACCTTTGCTATGCTTCAGTTTCCTCATCTATAAAATGGGGCTGATAATAATCATACTTACCTGATAGGGTTATTTAAAGAATGAAAGTGAGCATGTAAAAGGCTGAAAAGAGGGTCTTGCTGATAGGAAGTGCTCTGTATCTGCTGTTCCTGTTATTACTTTCACATTGGCTTGTTTGAGTTGCCCTATGACCACAAGCTCATTGTGGGCAGGATATATTTTAAGTATTTCTGTAGTCTCAGTGCCCAGCCCAGTGCCTAGTACATGGTAGGTATTTAGAAAATATGTGTTGAAATAGCTGTGACCTCTGGATTTAGACTGAGCTGAGAGGGAGGACTCACCATATGCAGAAGCCCATAGAAAAGAGGCATATGGAAGGGGCAGTGAGGCAGGATCAGAAGGTACAGGACGTGGGAGGATAGTGAATCCTGAGGTTGAAGGGGTAGATTGGAACCACATGCCACAGGATGCTGAGGCTAGGTGCTGGGGAGCCATGAGCAGCTTTAGAGCAGGGGAGGCATATGATGGTTCAGAATTTCAGAGAAGATACTGATGGCAATATCTAGACAGGATTGGAGAAGAGAGCCTGAAGCTAGCAGAGTGGCCAGTTGGGAGCCTGTTGGGAACACACAGCTGGGAGTCACAAGCTGCGTGGGCAGCAGCGTCCTATCTGCTGTTCTCCCCCTCCCTCCTCAGCTCAGCGCCACAAGGAACCAGGCCAGCACGTTGTGACCTTCCCCCGTCCAGCCCTGACTGTTCCCAGCCCTGGTGCTTGTCTATTTGCATCCTACTCATTCTGACACACCTTTCGTAGGTTGCCAGGTTACCGCAGCCCTGTGCTTTGTAAATCCTTGTGCCTTAGCTTCTACACCACTTAATTCCCCCCTCACTCTCCGCCCTCTGTATGTGTGTGTGTTTATTATTTTTATCTCGAAGTGGGAATCAGGGAGGCTCCTGGAAGTAGGCCATGCCCTTTTATGTGGTCTTCTCACCAAGGACATGCATGTTCCCAAGCCCCGGGAGCAGAGACCCAGAGCCCTGGGAAGGAGTGGTGGTTGATGCAGGATGTGGAGAAAACACAGACCCCTGCCCTTGGGAGCCACAGCTGTGCTCAGGCTGGCACAGGGCACGGGCTGGCGGCCATTTTATTCGTGTCTAGAGACTGCAGCTCCGAGCCTTCTTCTGTCTTTCTTTTGAGTCCTGGAATGTGTTCCTCAGGGGTGGACACTGCTTCCTTCTAGTTGCTGTGGTTGGGAGCTTGGCTTTGTCCTGTTATTCTTGCCTACAGCTGTTTGTGAGGTACAGTGGCTGGGATATCAGGAAGTTGCTCCTAGTCAACCTGTATTAAGTACCTACTACATACAGTTTTGTATCTCATGTCCACTATAATAGGCACACAGAGAGTTAAGGAGATGTTATAGTCGCTGCCTGGACAGTGGAGAGTAATAAAAATCACGGCCATTTATTGGGTGTTTACTATGTGTTGGGCATCATGCTAAGTACTTTGCATACATTATCTTATTTAATCCCCACAGTAACCATGTGTCACGCTTGTTAGTAGCACTGCTTTAGTGATACAAGATGATGTTAATTAACTTGCCTCAGGTCACACAGCCAGTGTGAGTCTTTGTGACTCCCACGCTCCCACTCTGAATGCCAATGCTGTGTTTTCTCTCAATGGCTAGGTACCCAAAAGTCAGGATTTAGCCTTTGGGAGTCCTGGGTTCAATTTGTTGCTCTGCTGCTTATTGGCTAAGTGATCCTGGATGAGTCTCCTAGCTTTCCTCATGTTCTCCTCCGTAAAATGGGAATAATTGCATGTACTTCACTAGGCTTTGATGGGGAATGAAGTTAATTTGTTACAAAAGCACTTTGTAAACTGGAAGGGGTTAACCATACATTTCACCTCATTTCAATGAGTCAGTAGTAAAAACTTGTTTAAAAAATACTTATGTACAAAAAAGTCACGTGTATTGGGCCTTTTTTTTTTTCCCTAAGGAAACCTGGTTAGCCCCACCTTTTATGCCAGAGATGGTCAAGTATGACAATAGAGAGTAGTTCATCTGCCAAGGACAGGCATTAGGAGGAGGTCTCATCAGAGGAGAAGGGATGTCATCCACATGTACAGCACAGCGGTTAAGAGACAGGGCTCTGAGTCTAGTTACCAGCTGTGCCTCCTCGTATAGGCTCCCCAGTTCCTATCCGTGGAGTAGAGGTGATAACAGTGCCAGCTTCGTCCCGCTGTCGTGGAATGCTGAATGAGCTTTGAGGCAGCACGGGGCCAACCACCAGGCCTGACAACGTGGCAGGTTTGTGGAATGTGGAAGTTGATGTTCGTGATGAGGAGGATGCTGCTTGGGCAGATAAAAGGCAAGGGGCATGCTAATTGGGGGCCTTGGCCTTATTTGAAGGATCTCCCAGAGGGGGACAAGGAGAACATAGAGGTCTGGTGGGACTGAGGGCAGCCTTGGGAGGAAGCCAGAGCCCTGTAAACGGGCTCTCAGCCAGATGGAGAATCTAGTTCTATTCCTCATCTCCCAAAGTGGGGGTCGGTGGTGGTCAGGGCCGTGGGGCCCAACAAGGGCTGCAGGGAGGTAGCCTCTGTCCCTGGTCCTTCTGCAGGCCCCAGGGAGATGGCTGAGTCCTGGAGGTCAGCTGGCCAGCTTCCATTCTGTGCCTGAGCAGGTTACCAATCACCGGGAGGAGGGACGCATTCCACGGTGAAGCTCAGCTTTATCATCTTGGCCAAGGAGCAAAGTTTACTCAGAAAGAGTTCCTGCCATTTTTTAACTTGTTACTTGGTTCTGCATATGAGAGAGAAAAAGGAGATGGGGGAGCCAAGTGTTGGGATGGGTGTGGGAAGGAGGTTAAATGTTGAGATTGGCTTGCTGGGACACATTTCTTATACAAAGGTGATACATGACGACTCTGGGGATAGCCTACAGGTAGGCAGGAAGTGGCCAGTCAGTTGTATCTCAGCATTGTATGATTCCAAAAATGAGGGGTAAACTTGGTATTTCGAATGTTTAGAAGTAGGCCTCACGGAAGTTGTGCTGTGTTTCCTTCCTGTGTTCATCGGCCTGTTTGCCCAGTGGATGGTTACTGGACATGGATGTGCACCATGTGGTGGCTTAAAGGGCTGTAAGACGCAGTCCAGGCCCACGAGAAGCTTCCTAGCAGTGAGGCTGTTTTATAACTGTTCCCAAATCATGTTAGCTCTGGAAGCTATTTCAGGAACGCCTTTGGTTATGAACCGTATCTTATATTTAATTTTGATTCTCTTTTCCCTCCTGTCCTGGATTCAGTAGCAGCATCCACACTGTGTGCCTGGCTGTGTCGTAGGTGTTGGAAGTACTTAGAAGAATTAGGAGGTACTTGGTAAAAGCTTGTTAATTAACTAAAGTGGGGACCTAGAACCATCTCCAAAGAACTTTTGGTCTTCTCTTGTGCAGTCAAGACTCTTCATGTCTCAAAAGGACCCTGAGCTTCTGTCTGGAGCGCATCAGAATCTGTGAAATGCCTGGATCTAGGCCATAAAGTAGAGGGTTTGTCCCCCTCTTTTCCTTGGTTGCTGTATGTTCTTAATAACAGTAAGAGTTTTAGCCCACCGCAGGAGGCACTTGAAGGCATGCAAAGCTCCACCTCTCCACCTACCTCCTAGGGCCCTGGGTGGCACTCCTCTGCTCCTTTCCTTTCTTCTTCTGTTACCGTATCAGGTAAGGCCACTTTCTACTCTTAGTTGAAATTTACAGTTGGTAGCCATGGGGAACCATTAGAGTCTCTGGTCTTTGATTCCCTGGGAGAGGGTGGGTCTGACAGTGGCCTTCCCACCTGTGTGATGAGGACAGCTGATTTCTGTCTCCTTTGTTCTCAGCCTCACATGGGGTCACAGGGAAAAGGAAAACACATAAAAGATCCCCAGGGCTCAGATTTGGGGTTGCACTGTTTTTAGTCCAGAGCCAGCTGTCCTTGGCATCCGTCAGGCAGAGGGGTGAGGTGATTGCTGGTGTTTGTGACACTACAGGTTGAGTGTCCCTTTGATATTTGCTTGGGGACCCTTTCCAGAAGCTGCAGTTAGAAGAGCACATTCTTGTTTGATACATTTAGATCAAAGGAAGGAGAGAGTAGGAGAAACCTCAGAGGACCTGTGTGGGTGGGCAGGGAAGGGATTCACATCAAGTGAGCCCATTTCCAGTGTGTTTGTTGGGGATTTAGGGGTTGTCATGTTGACAGGCCTAATCTAGTCCAATCAGGCAATCAGCAAGTATTGATTGAGTGCTGCTAGAAGTATCGCTTTGGCAAGAATGAAAAAAGAATTTTGAAGCTTGCCTGGACCCTTTCTTTGAAAAGTTCAGACTCTAATTGGAGGCTACAGATGAGCCACGTGTGACATGAGACATGACAGCCTATTATCTTGGCTCTAAATTGTAACAAGGGGTTAAACTGTTGGCATCTGGAGAAGGAAGAACAATCATGGCAAACGTGGGGCCTGCAGGATTGCTGTCTATCTCATCTGGGAAAGAGTGAAGGATACAGGTAGACATATTGCTTAGTCTAGTAGAGTCCATGGGTCTCAGACTCTTGTCCAACATCAAGAGTATCAAAGCACCTTCTCCTTGCTGGAGTTTGGCCACGTGGAAAGAATCTATCCAGCTAACTCTCGAAAAAGGAGCAGGTGAGCATTGGGATTGATTCCCAGCTAAGGGAAATTGAGCAGATTAATGGAGATAATATATGTGAAATGGCTTAGTGTGTGTCATACAGAAATAATTCAACAAAGGCTTATTGGCAGATTCCTAAGCTCAAGACTGAGAGGGTCTGAAGAAGGCACATAGCAAGGTTTTAATTATTGTGTGTATGGGAGGGCTGGGTTGGGAGTTGAGGGGCAGGGGAAGATTAAGCAAGACAGGGAGTGAGGACTCCTAAGGGAGGAAGAAGGTTCTCTGGGAGATCAGAGCCGGCTGCCCTTTGGCCTTCTCAGGCCACTTTTGGAGGGCCGCTCCAGTTCCTGATCTCAATTAGGAGGGAAAATGTCAAACTACTAGTTGAAGTACAGAGCAGAGCTGCTGGCACGTGAAGAGTGGTTAAAAACATGAGACTGCGTGGCCCAGAGAGGTAGAGATTTTGGTGAGAGGGGGTTTGCTAGGTACAGTATTGTGTGCTTAAAGCACTGTCAGGTGATGTGGGTGTCAGAGTTACCCTGTGGTACCTCAGGGGGCAGCCCTGGGGCCAGTGGGTAGCTGTGACAGGGAGGCAGACGTTGGTGTTGGGAGCTGGATTCCTGTCTTGCTTTATGGGCTGTGAAGGATGTGAGGGAGAGAAGATGGGTGACCCTGTCAGGTCTCCAGCTCCTTCCGTGGGCCCTGTAGTGTTTACACATGAGCGAATGTCCACCATGCAGGGGTGCTAATAATGAAAACAGTAGCCATAACTTTCCTTACTGAATACTTGTTGGGTACCAGGCACTGTTGCTGAGTGCTTTACTCAAATAGACTCTAATCTTCACAGCAACACTGTGAAGAGGTATGATGAGCTTATCAGCCCTACTTTATAGATGAGAGAATTTAGGCAAGACATGGAATAACTCACCCAAGATCCCACACCTTGGACTCTAACCCAAGGCGGAATCTTCTTGTCTCAGTGGAAGGTGAGGCCAGATGACATTCAGGGTGTCTTACACCCCCAGGGTTCTAAGGCCCTGTCTTGTGGCTCATCCTGGGCTATTTGGATGGGGTTGAGAGGGTCATTGGGTTTGGGGCAGGAACAGTGGTTACGACTCTCGGGATGACCTGACTGTGGATGCTGGTGCTGCCCTCGAGGTCAGTGATAGGGCTCCGTGAACAGGGTTCTCCCGCTGGCTGTTAGGAAAGGGCCTCTCTAGGGAAGTGGGCTGGGACATCCCAGCTTATCTCAGCATCTCAGTTCCTCCTGTCTTCCTTCCTCTACCCTTATGGTGATTTAGGGCTCTCAGAAGCTCCAGTGGTAATTTTTTCATGTCAGCCTACCCAGAAACTTATATATATATTTTTTGAGACAGAGTCTCGCTCTGTTACCCAGGCTGGAGTACAATGGCACAATCTTGGCTCACTGCAACCTCCACCTCCCAGGCTCAAGCGATTCTCATGACTCAACCTCCCAAGTAGCTGGGATTACAGGCATGTGCCACCATGCTCAGATAACTTTTGTAATTTTAGTAGAGATGGGGTTTCACCATGTCAGCCAGGCTGGTCTTAAACTCCTGGCCTCAAGTGATTTGCCCGCCTTGGCTTCTTTTGGCCTCCCAAAGTGCTGGAATTACAGGCGTGAGCCACCGCACCTGGCCCCAGAAACTTCTTGATTGTGTCATGAGCGCACTCAGCCTGTAGATCTCTCCTCAACCCCCACTAAGCTCTGCCTCCCAAGAAAGGCATAGAGCAAGTGATGTCCAAGTGCCTGGGCCTCCAGGGCCGGCAAGACTTGAGCTGTCTTGTTTGGGGGGCCAGGGTGGGATTAAGGAGCCAGCTGTCCTCCTAGCATCTTGCTTTCTTAGTTTACCAGCCTCTGCTGACCGAGGGAGTTCCTGCCAGCCAAGGGTGGAGCTCCTTAAAAAGTGCCTCGCGCTGTACCTGACACATGGGCCCCAAACACATTATTTTTTTGGAATAGATCAATGGCCGTTCTTTCTGTTGGACCCGCCTGCTTTCTAAATATTCACCCTGGCCTCTGAAGGTTTTGAAGTTTTCAGAGGGAGAGTGATGGGGTACTCCTCTCACCTCCAAAGTATGTGGCGTTGGAGAAATCTTCTAAGTGTAATCTTCTGTCTTTTAAGGCAGAGCTGTTGTTGCTGTGCTGCTTTTGGAGAAAGAACATTGGCCTCGGAGGCCTATGTCAAATCCTAGCCTGAGAATAATGGCTGTCCAGTGGTCCCAGGGGGTTTCAGAGAGCTGAACCCTCTAAAAGAGTGTAATTCCAACACCTACCTTCAGTAAATAAATCAACCACAGGACTGCCTCCCACCCCCAAAGATTCTGGTCAACATCCCCTCCCAGTGCAGAGGAAGTATTCACATCATCAAAGGTTTTGTGGAACTTTACTTTTGGTATGGTTTCACATTATGAAAACGTATCCCAAATATTAACTGTTATGTTTTAGACAGTCCCCAGCTCCTCTCCCACCCCTGAATGAGAGTCTCGGCCCTGGAAGTTTTGTCCCTGCTCCTGGCAAAGCTGGCACTTTGCTGAAAGCTCGGACCTGCACCCAGGCCATGCATAATGGCCCTGGTCTCTTTTCTCCTCTGTCCTAGGCTGCAGGTACGGACGTGCCCCTGCTTGGGGGATAAGGCAGTATGGAAATGAAAGTTCAAGTCAGAAGTGTTTGGGGAATCCCCTGCCCCACTTGTGTTTATGATTCCTGCTGTCTAGATCTGACTCAGTTAAGTAGAGCAGAAGTTTGTTGTGAGGCAGGAAAGCGACTCCATTTTTAAGTCACATGGTGCTAAACCCATGTGGTCACACAGAGGTCAGCACAGACCCATAAATCATCAGAGGCCTAGGTTCTTCCTACCCTAGAGACATCTCCTCCTGCCCACAAGAGCAGCAGCAGCGTCTGAGGGCACCAACCTGTGCCTGGAGGGAGTCTGGCCAAGACCCCTCAATCCCGGCCATGTCTGGCCTGGCACAGGCTACAGGTTCCGCTGTTGAGGAATGGAGTAATGTTCTCCTCAAGTCCCTCTCACATGGCCCAACCACACTCTGTCTCTCTGGAAATTATTTCCATCCATTGGCAGGGCCAAGATTTTGAGCAGCCAGCCAAGAGGCACATTGGGTTACTCCCTCAGTCCCAAGAAGACTTTGTCCTCCTGTATTTTAGGCAGCAGGAGCTGTGACCAGTGGTTAGCAGAGTGGCCACATTCACTCAGCCCCAGCCCATAGTCAGGATAGCAGGTGCCAGTGCTATTGCCAGTCTGGGTTTTGCTTATGGCTGAGTTGTGAGCCCTCTGGGGTGGGAGCTTAGATTTAATGATTAGCGGCCTAAGACAAGATAGATGTTTTGGCCTGTTTCACTTTCCCAAGAGGTGATGGGAGCCAGCTTGGGCAGGACATTTTGGAGCCTGGATTTCTGGCCTGAGAGACAGACTGACTGTGTCTGTCCAGGAAAAAGCATCTACTTACAAACAGAGCATCCTAGTCACAATATCTGCTGTTGCAGGCCTGACCTTCCCCCATGCAAACATGCCCCTCTCTGTGCAGCCCTTGGGCGTATTTCACACGGGAGTCCCTGTTGGTGCTGGGGTTCACTTCCATTTGTGCTGTGAATTCAGCACTCAACTTGGCCTTTGCTTGTCTTCCTTTACCCTGAGGGTCGGGGAGCCCTGTGTTCTTGGCCAGCGTCTGCCAGGTCACTCACTCTCTGCCGCCTGGCTCCGGCTCCCTGTCTGTGGCGGCATTCTGAGTGTGTGTCTGCATTTCACCTCTGCCAGAACCTACCCTCCAGCACAGGCTGTCCCCAGCCCTTGCCTCTCGGATTTTCACTTGGCACCTGGCACTGCATTGTGTCCTTGGAGTGTTCGTTGTCACTGCTGGGCCTTGTTTCGCTTCAGCTCAGTGACATGGGTGGAAGTGTCATGGTCTCTTGGGTTGGGGGAAAGCTCCTCAGTGGCTCTGGGGTAGTTCCTCCAGGAGACTGGCACAGTGTGGTCTTCATGGCTGAGGTCTGACCACACCATGATCACTGCTGTTGGTCTGCAACTATTAATGGCACTGCTCCTTAGGAGCCTTTTCCCCATGAATGCCATCAGACTTCTACTCTATGAGTACCATTTCTGTCCCCACCCCAACATCGAGCACATTCTCATACTTTTTGTGATTATATATACTTAGATTTCTGTATTTTTGTTTCTTCTTGAAGTTGCTTGATGTTAGAAATTCATCTCTTCCTTACCAGGTGTTGAACTATCCCAGTAATTTAGCTTTTACTTGGCTTCTGCAACCTTTTTTTCTCTAAGCTCCTTATCTGTCTTGGGCCTACCACTTGAACACACTTGATCTTGTCTACTTATCTCGTCAATATGAAGCTAGGTATGGTTGTGTCTGGTTAGTACTTGGATGGAAGATCTGAGAATGCTAGGTATTCTAAGTCTTTTGAGGTGTTGGTAGGCTTTTTCTTATACCAAATGCAAAATCTTTATGTCACCATTGTTGTCATTCTCATCATCATAGTGATAGCTGGGATTAATTGAGCACTTATTCTGTGTTGGGCCTTGTGCTGCATTACTTCTGTATCTCACATCCTCTCCAAGAAAATCCCAATGAAGTATAGATGAAGCTGAAACTAGAAACTTAGAAAGGTTAAGTAAGTTGTTCAAGTTTATATAATTAGTCAAGAGGCTGCACTAGAATTCAGATTCAAATCTATCTCATTTTAGAGTTAGAGTTTTTAACCACTAAATGTAATATTTTTGTTTGGTAGTTAAGTACTCTATAAATGTTGGTTGAATGGCAAGATTGCTCTGACAGTCCAGCTGTTCTCCATGGTGTCACTAATGATGATGATAGCACACAGCATTTTTTGAATGAATGCTTGCAGTGGTAAGCTCTGTACTAAAAGATATGCATTAGTTAACCCATTTAATCTTATAGCTCAATGAGGAAGATTACCCCCATTTTGCTGATTAGGAAACTGAGGCCAGAAAGGCCAAGGTAACTTGCCCAAGGTGACACAGCTAAATAGTATTAGGGGATTTGGATGCAAGCTGTCTCCTAAACTGTGTGAGTCTGTACTCTTAATCACTATGTTGCTCTCCACAAAAAAATAAGGCTGATTTTTATTTTTCTGTGCTTTTCTTCTTGCTGTCCCCTTCCTTAGCTAGTGATGCTATTTCTTTACCAGTTCTTGCTCATCCTATTCATTCTCAGAAGCCCAGGCTGGAGTTCTCTTCTCAGACTATGCATGTCCACATCAAGCTGGCTTCTCACAATTGGCCCCTCAGTGTATTTTCCTAAACCTTACTTGTAAACATGTTAAAATGACCAGATTTACAATTAGTGATCTACACCGTAATAGCAGACCTATTTGTTTGTCTTATTTCTACCAAAGAAATGGAACAGGGAGCTCAGAAACAGACCTATATGTATCTGGACACCTGATTTATGATGAAGAAGGCACTGCTGGGCAGTGGGGAATGGATGGTTATTTTAATAAACAGTGCTGGTTCAACTGGATATCCACAGGAAAGAAATGAATCTTGATCATATACAAAAATAAATTCCAAAGCGATCATCAATCTAAATGTGAAAATTAAAACAAAACTTCATCTACAAGATAGCATAGAATATCTTTATAACTTTGGGGTAGCCATACATTTCTTAAAGAAGACACAGAAAGCACTAACTCTAAGGGAGAAGACTGATAAGTTGGATGTCATTAAAATGAGGAGCTTCTGATTATCAAATGACATCAATAAAAGAGAGTGAAGCCAAGCAGAGAGGAGAAGATATACTCAGTACCTATACCTGGCAAGTGGATTCATATCCAGAATATATAAATAACTCCAACAAATCCATCAGTAAAAGAAACCCTTCCCCCTGGACAGAAAAAAGTTCCATACTGAACAATTGTGAGTTGTATGCAGTTTTCTTCTCCCAGTGCAAGGTTCTAACCAGTATGTCCTGGATCACTGGCACAGCCTGGTGGCTGGCCTTGGGAACTGTCTGATCTGGTGGCTCTTGGCATTTTCTTTTGTGTATGGACTGTGGGCCCTTCCTTTCCCATGTGCTTCTTCACTTGCTATTGGTTTGGCCACAAGAGGCTCCTGTCTCATGAATGCCTGTGTCTCTTCCTCTTTTCCTTTGGCTTGTTAACTTTTGATCAGTTATTTCGAGAATATTTCTCTCTGGCTTCTTCCCCCCGCCCTTCCTTTTTAATTTCCCTTTTTGTACCTTCTTGTTTAGCCTAAAAACTTCTGGTTGTAAAAACCATCCTAAAGTGTCTCCAAGTCTTTGGGGGAGTAGGCTTGTTCTCTGGGGCTCCAGAGGCAGAGTGGAGACCTGAAGGCTAATATTTCCCTGCAGAGAGATTTCATCTCAGTTGTGTTCCACTTGTCTGAACCCTCCAAAGGTGTGGTGGGAGTTATTGAATCAAGTTGGGGCTAGACCATGACTTGGTCACGGTGGTGTTTGTGGAGGGTACTGTGTCTTGAATGGGCAGCTGGATTATGATAAGCCCTTCCAATCTTATCACCAAAGCCCTGGATGGACGTTTTGTGGATGTCCAGAGAAGCGCTCTCAACTGGGAGACAGAGCCAGTATATCAGCATGACTTTTCTGCCTAGCTGGCAGGTCAGGATGCACACATATTATTACTACTTCAGTTAAATCACGTATACTTGGAAGTCATTTCGATACACCTCTCCACCTGCAGCCCTCAGGGAAGTTTTAAATTTTCCTCATTTTCCTCTATGCTTATTATTTTCCTCAAATGGCAGATGTGTGAGGTAAAGTTTTCCTCTTTGGGTATGTTCTTTATTTTATTTAATTCCTCACTCTGGCAATGCTTGCTCTTTTTTTTTTTTTTTTTTATTACAAACGTATTGTATTTTAGACACATTACAACCAGGAGAACAAACTGGAAGCTCTATAGGTATGTTCTGACCATTAAAATATCTGGACAGTGTTAAAAAAAAAATCAGGAGTTTAACATAAAGCTAGTTTTCCGCCTTGCCCTGAAAACCTGGATGATCTGGACTCTTTGGGTCTCTGTTCCCAGATGGTCCCCAGCAGGCAGAGCCAGGAGGGTGGCCCATCAGGAGTGGCACGGTCCTTCCACTGGGCACATCCCCTCCCCAGGCCACTGTACTCCTTCATTACCTGCATGGCCCCTGAAGACACTGGAGTTGATGACTTCCTGGAGTGGATAAAATGGGCTTTTGTGAGCTAGCCTGGGAACCAAGCAGTATGTTTGATATTATTTCATTGCAAAAGTGGATCTCAGCTTTTAAAGTAAGCAGATGTTTTAAATATCAGCAATGCAAATTTGGGAATACTTAGCCTCAGCTGGAATGTGTGTGTTCTCCATGATGGACTGTTTCTGATGCTTTTCCTGTGCTGTATCTTGGCTTAGCACTTAGTAGGTACTTAATAAATGATTTACCTCAGGTGGTAACCAAGCGCCTGTTGTCCACCAGCTCCCAGGGAGTGAACAGAAATGCCATCTTGCTGTGGACTGGGCCTGTCAGTTCCACCTGAGACCAGATCGCTGCCAGATTTATCTAGAACATCCACTCTAGCTCTAGATAACAGAGATTGGAATGTGTCCTCTGCACAGCTTCCCTGTCTGGAGAGCGAGGTAAAGACCTAGACCCCGTCGAGTTGGCCCTAAAGAGGAAACAGGACAGGGAGGCCGGCATGAAGCCGGCATGAAGACTGCTTTTCTGGCTGTTGCCTGCCGAACTGGAGTTTGTGGCCGGTACACAGTGCTTGCATTCCACACCCTGAACAAGGGCGGGTCAAAGTTCAGCTCATTCCCCTTTAAAGAAAAAAATTCTTTGTCTTTGGCATTTCGAAGTTTTGACCCAGATCAGTCGGAGGCCACGGAATGCTCATGAAGTCTGGAGAGTTTGTTTAGTTCCTGAGTCCGGTAGCTGCCGAGGAGCCAAAGAGAGCCGGCAACCTGTTGGGCTTGAGCTGAAGCCTTGCCTTTTCAAGTTTGTGCTGGCCTGGCCTCCCCAAGCCTCTGAGGGTGAGTAGAAGGAGCCAGCACCTTTTCCCCACTCTGAAGTTATCTTTACCCCCTGAAATCAAACACTGCATGCAGCACCCTGTAAAACTGCTTCCTTGTAGGCTCGAGCGTGCTTGCTAAGTAAACATCCTCCCATGTTTTTGGAACTGAATTCATTTCTGCTTCCTGGTCATCCCATTCGGGTTTTTTTGTTCTTGGTGCCTTGTAGAATCAGGTTAATAGAAGGAAGACCTAGAATTGGGCAGAGGTACCTAAAATGACTGTTTTAATCCTGCCTCCTCCAGCCTCCTCATATAACTGGCTGTTTTCCACCGCACTCAAGGTTCCCTCTTTCGGCTTAAAGCCCCCCTCTGTCTCTGTACAGGAAAAGCCTCTTCCTTCTTTCTTGCCTATTAAATTCTCCACTCTTTAAAACCACTCCATGTATGTCTGTGTCATTTTATTCAAACCGGAGCAAAACCGAAAACCCTAGTGTTCTTCCAGTCATCAAAGCCGTACCAACGGGGTCATGGGAAGGAAAAGATTTAGAGGGAAAATGAAAGGAAACAAAGCCTTGCTGAACGTAGTGTTGTCATAGGTTTTTGCGAGTCATAGTTGGTTCATGCCGCACCCCTGAGATGGGGACTTATCTTTGCAGGGACTCAGCTTAGTTTTGCTGCGGTCATAGACTACAGTCGGCCTCTGTACAAATTCTGTGGCTTTGTAGGTTCCTCCTGTGACCCTGCCTCGCTTTCGCTTCGTCTCTCATGACTTATTTGCCTCTTCTCTCACTTCCACCCACCCGTAACATCCCCATCGCCATGGCAGTGAGCAGCCACGTCACTCACCAAGTTCATGGGGTGATGGGCCAGCTCTGTACCAAGCCTACTTCCCTCTAGTTCTGCCTCCTGAAGGAGGAGGCTCCCTGGCAGAGCTCAGAGCCCTTTGTTTATTTGATCCTGGGCTCTTGGATAAATCAGGAATGTCCTGACATGAACTTAGGCATGTTTTTCTTCCATGGAGAAGGAAACTACGGCAAATGGGATTTAAGTAACCAGAGGACCTTTCTGGGGGACTTGCTTTAGTGCCATCAAGGCCACGTTCCTTTGGTCATCAGACCAGTAGGTAACTTCTTTATTGGCATGCTCAACCTTGGAGCCCAGAAGGTGTGAATTTGAAGCACTTTCCCCCCTGCTGGGAGCCTGGCACAGATACTCTGGTCTTCTTTTAAAACTGTGTAGTGCCATGCTTGTCTTCCAAGTGGTCCTTCTTTCTGCCGGATGAAACTTTGGCCCAGAGTAGTTGCTTGAAGAAGGCTGCCTGGGAAGCAGATATGGGATAAGGTAGCTGCCTGGCCTCGCATTCTCATTCATCTTCCTGGAAGTTGCAAGGTTCTTGATGTCATAGACTTCATAAGTTACCTGACCCAGGACCTGAATATCTCACTCACTTCTGGTCAAGTCTAGGCTCATATGGTACAACTGGTTGTCGGGAACCTTTCTGCATTCTTTGGATGTAGCAGTGTGGGAACCCAACACTCCCTTGGTCTATCTGGGTATGTAGGGTCTAGTGATTTAGTATCTCAGTTGTTCTTGGAAGCATTTTTGCGTCTGGGGGGAGGGGCAGGAAAATGTTGGGGGCTCTTTGCTTGCTGTAGTGGAGACCTGTGAGTATCCAAAAACAACCCCACTCCATCTCTAGATCATTGGTGGACCACCCCTTCCTGGAAGAGTTTCCAGGAGTGTGGACATCCATGCATGAACATTGTGGAGGGGTTGGGGGTCGGCTCGTGGATGCTCATCTTGCTTGACTGCCCATGCTGGAGAGGAGAACCCAGTCATTGGCCACTTCAGGTCCAGGCTTGGCTGTTGCTCTGTTTTGCTGTTTTTCATGTTGTCAGATCTTCTTGGGAACAAATGACTCAGCAACCCAAATCTCTGAGACTGTGTGGCCAATTACTTGAAAAGTAATTGAACGTATTTACCTAGGCCCTAAAATTTTGAGCCCAGGAAGGATGGATATCCAGACTGGTTTTACTCTGGATTCTTCAGGCTGCAGTTCAATTTGGTTTTTCAAATTCCTGCCCTGATAGAAGGATCTCATGTGTGGGGTAGGCAGGCAATGTTTTAATTACGCTTTTTGTCCTTAAGAAATTCCAGGGAGAAAAAGGTCCTGGTTTTTGGCCAAAAAGGCAAAAAACAACAGAAATCAGCTATGACTGTAATCCTGGACTTGTCTGTGGCACAAAGAGTTAATGGGACAGTGGTCAGGGTGAGGAACATTTTTTCTCAGGGCTGGAGAAGCCCATATGGCTCAAGAAAACATGTTGCAACATTTAGTACAGGGCAGCCCTGTCTGGGCACTGGGGGCTGCCACTCAAAGAGTTAAGCTACTCTTATGCCTGAGAAGGCCTCAGGGAAGGAGTGAGCCTGAAAGGACAGGGACCTCTATGCCCCAGAGCAGTGAGGTGCAGGAGGGGTGAGGTGGGAGGGTGTGAGCTGAAAAGTGTGGCCAAGGAAGCAGAGTGTAGGCCCAACTTTTTTTGCCTTGTTTGACCAGCCTTGGCACTGCCCTCCGGCTCTCCAGGGGAAAAGCTGCAGTTCTGCTCTTGCAACACAAGGAGCAGACTGGAGAATTTAGATCTGCGTCACAGAGCTGAGAGAGAGAGAGAGAGAGAGAGAGAGAGAGAGAGTGAGAGAGCGAGCGAGCAAGCAAGCTCCGTCGATAGGTCTGCTAGCAACAGCCGTGCTGCAGCAGAGAGAGAGAGAGAAATCAAGAAACAAGTCATAGCAACACCGGGCACCAGGTTCTGCCAGCTCACTTGCTGAGCGTTCAGAGATCTGTCAGGGCCAGAGGCCTCTGGGTAGCCTAGGCTAGGAGATGACACGCAAGGTGGCACGGGCGGTTCCCGTGGGGAGGAGGTGGGGTGGTGGTGGGGGGCAGGGGTGGGAGCAAGAGGTTGTGGGGCGACGGTGGAGGGTTTGATGGGACCAAATTCTGGAACATTCGGGACTGCGGCACCTTACGGCGGGACCAAGATTTGGGTCTGCGCAGGCGGCGATGGGTGGTCCGACGGGCTTCAGGACTTGATGGCGTAACCCCCTTCTTCCCCCACGTATGTATTTGCTGGGATCAGGGGCGCTGTCTCTGTGTATGTGGGTGCTCTGTCTTTCTCACCTTCTTTCTCGATTTTTGCTATTTATTTCTCTGAGGGAGGGTTTTTTCCCACTTTAATTTCTTTTCCCTAGTGTCAGCTGCTCAAGCCTGACCAGGGTAGAGGTGAGAGGAGTGAACCATCCCCTGCTTCCCACCTGACCTCCCAGCTTTTACCCTATTTCCTTCTAGTGGACAGACAGACTGGTTCTCCAAGTTGTTTGGGTGTCAGCGTCCATCTGTCTGTCCGTGCAGGTCTTATGTGGAAGGTAAGGGAGTGAGAAGTGCCGAAAGGAAGACAGAGGGACAGTTTTTTCCCAGGGGTTGCCTTATTGAAAGGTCTGGCCCTGGGATTCTGAGGCTGGTGGGGAGCCGAGTGGCCAGGGTGGGGTGTGGGCTGGGAGAAGTGGGGTAAAGCTGGTAGGTTTGTCACTGCGTAGTTGGGAAAAGTGGGGAATGGTGACGCAGTCACTGTTGCATCTGGTTAGGAGCTCTATGGGGACAGGTAGTGAGGCTCCTGGGGTCTCTGTGGCCAGCTGAGAGGGGTTAAGGATGAGCTAAGAAGGGAAGCTAGCATTTAGAGATTAAATGTCATCCTTTTGGCGTTGGAAAGTTGTTTACCTTGCGCTCTCTGTGTCTCCATGTTGGCTCCCTTCCAGTTCACATGTGATGGCCTTCCCTGTACTGCTGCATCATTAACTAAGTGACTGAGCTGGCCTTCCATTGGCCAGGGGAGGGCTCTCCCTCCAGACACTTCCTCTGATTGGTGGGTGGGCCAATGGCAGGTGAAAAGCTTTTTTTGATTGGCTCAGGGCAGGGTATCAAATCTGAATTTGCATTTCACTTGCTTAAAGGGGAGCGGGGAGAAGCCCAGCAGCTTTCTAAAATCTCTTTAGGGGTGTGCGTAGGCTCCTGTGTCTATGCCTGCTTTTGACTGCCCAGTTGAAGCCTCTTCCTATGCCTTTTAAAATTTCACGCACTATAAGGAGGAAGAGCTCAGGGCTCCCAAAACTTTTTATTTAGAGGGAAGAATGCTAGGGAGATGGGTATGCAGAGGGTTGACCAAATTGGAAGAAAATATTTATTCTGTAGTTTGGTGTTGGAAAAGGGAATTTTCCAATCAGCCACACCTCAGTGTTGCGGCAAAATAATTCTTGGCTCCCCTGGAAACGCATGGGCAAGGTAGGGCAGAGCTGCTGCTGCTGATACTGCCACCACCCTGGGCTTCCTGCTGACTCTGGGCTACTCCCTGGGGACAACAGATTTGCATTGACGTCCGGGGCTGTCCAGAGGCCCTCAAGAGCCAGTTGTGAGCTGAGCCCAGTATGGGAAAGATCTACCTTCTGGAAGCTACTACTACGTGGTGCTTGGAAAGGTGAGGATGGGGGACTGACCCCAGGAAATTGCTCGAAACTCCGCATCTGGTGGGATTTCCAGAAAAGTCAGTGGGAGACGGGAGGTTTGGAGGCCCCGGGTTAGAAAGGTTTGTCAGTCTAGGGAATGAGGAGAATCAGAATAAAACTAGGGCAGCAGGCTGTCCGCCTTTGGTTGGGGGAGGGAGGCCTCGAAAAATCAGGGTCCCGGCTCTCTAACCTGTCTTTGTCGCAGGTCTCACGTTTGTGGGGAGGGGGTTTACCAAGCCCTGCGCCATGCGCAGTGGCCCCCACCCGTGACTGCGCATCTGGAAGCGCAGTGCGCCCTGGGTCTCTGGCCTAGGACGAGCACCGCCCTTCTTATTACATAACTGAGGGCATGGCACGCGCCTTCTCGGCCCTTCCTTGCAACCCTACCTTCTTGCTCCCCAGGGCCCATAGAGCTGGGGAGGGTCTGACTGGGTAGCAGTGAAGGACTGCAATCCCTGGGAGGGCTAACTCTTGTCTAGTTACTGGCAGGAGCCAAGCTTGAGGACAAAAGTGGTGGTTTTCTAGCCTCATCTTGGGGAAGAGGCTACAGAACATCCTTCTGAGTGCCCCATACCACCTATGGCCCCTAGGGCCTCTCTGGTGGAGGGGGTGGCACCCTTCTTTCACTCATGTCCCATCTGATTTTTGAGAGGATGTTTCTGAAGGAAAAGATGTGATGATTATCGGGGGCTTGGTTGGGAGGTAGTTTTGACAGTTTACTCCCCTTGTCACTGGCTTCCCCTCTTTTCCCTGGGTGGGTTTATGATCTTTCTGGACTCCTCTGATGAGCTGCCATTTTGGAGCCATTTCTGCTGGTCTCCGACATGGTGGCGTTGGTTTTTCTGTCCTGCTGTGCCAGTTCCGCAGAGTGGGCGGGGGGCGGGGGCTATGACGGAGGAGGGGAAGGGGGGGCAAAAGCACAGCAGAGGCAGGCACAGTGGTGGCTGCCGCAATGAAGGTGGCTCTAGGGGCAGAGCCGCCTAGTCCCACCCTTGGACACAGTCCTGGGTGGGGATTCAGGTGGAAGGCGTCTGGGTAGGGGTTCAACACCTGGGCCCGGCTTTGCCAGAGCGTGGGTTTCCCATGTCCTCATCAGCCTGGTGCTTGGAGTAGTTCGGAAAAGCTGAGTGTCTGAATGAGAGTGGAGGCAGAGGCTCGGCAGCTCATCTCAGACGTGTCAGACCCGTGGTTTGTGTTCCCCAAATAGGCTCTGTCTCCAGCAGCCTCCCTGTGGGGACAGGGAAGTGAGGTCCATGGCAGCTTTGAGGATCTGTTCGGATGGTCCTGCCTGCTTACTGTTTTTCTTCTCTTTCTCCTCCATGCCCCCTGCCAGTGCCATGGTTCCAGCTGTAGTCCTCTTGTGAGGCTCCCCGCTGCCCGTTCCCCCTCTCTCCAGGCCCTTCTGCGTGCAGCGGCCATCTTGTCTTTCTTGCTCAGAAACTTAAAATGGTTTCTCATAATTCCCAGAGTAAAATTCCTTCCCTTTAGCGTGATGCTCAATGCTGGCCGTAACTGGCCTTAGGTTTCCTGTACAGTCTTACCTCTCTCAGTTTCTTTTGGTGGACCATAGGTTCCAACAAAACCAGGCAACTTCCTTTTCCTATCTGTTTTCACCAGTGATGTTTTCCATGCCTCTTCTCCTCTGCATCCACCTGTGGCAGTCTCACTTTCTCCGTGGACCTCTCCTGATTTCCTTGGCAAGAAGCAGTTCTCATAACCACCCCTGCCCTTTCAGCCAAACTTCCATACAGTCTGTCCCTTTTTATGGTACTTTTGTTGTGTTATGATTATTTGTGTATAAGTCTTATGTCACCTATCAGATTGGGAGCTCCAGGAGGGAGGCTAGAGAAAGGAGAAGGAAAACAAATACCTATTTGGTGCCTTCTGTTTGACAGATACCATGTTATACACTTTCCCTGCAGTTACTTCATTTACTCCTTTCCACAGCCCTGTGGGGAGCATCCCATGTCTAGTAAGTGGCCTGGTCATGACTAGAGCCCTGGTCTTCCAAAGCCTTTACATTTTTCCTCTCTGAATTACTGGTGTTTACAAGATGGCTGTTATGAAGTAGATCCCCAAAATTTGTCTATTTAAGGAATTTTGTAAGTCCCTAATGCTCTGAGGGAGTTTGGGTGGTCAATCTTGTGTCCATGGTCTGGGTCCCTCAGCTGTTCCTTGACACTGTCATTAACTTTCTCCTCTTCCTTTGTGGTCAGGTTCACTCAAGATGATGGCTTTTTTCTTGTAGCTGAAATTGATGGATTAACTGACTCAGTTATCCTGGTTGCCTTCCTCGTACAAGAGGAGGGAGAGGTGGAGTGGGATACAGCATCTTCAAAGCCAGAATAAGCTCCAGAATTAGAGAGCAGGGAGCAGAGACACTGGACTTGAACAGACCTAGGTTTTCATTGTGATCCTTCTTCTTAGCTGAGTGACTTTAGACAAGTCATATGATTTAAGTTTTCAGTGAGATGGAGCTACTACAACTGTTATACAGAAATGCCTAATATATTGGCAGCAAATAGGTTCCCATCCCTACCCAGTGGTTTATCAGGGACTTAAAATGGGAGCATAGCAGGGGGCTAGAGAAGAAATGGGGGAGACAGGAGCTCCTGTGCCCTAAGTGGTATCACAGCAGGGGCGCAGAGGAGGTAACCTAGGCGTTACGCCCTTCAAGCCTGCAAGGTGTACTGTCCCCCACCTGCCATAAATACCCCTTTACTTCTGCATCAGGAACATGCCATGGCATCTGAGTGGTGGGGGCTGGTGACGGCAGAGGGAGGGTCAGTGAGCTTTCCTGGGAGCCTTTTGATGCCAGGTTAGTTTCCCTTCTTTCTGAATCTCAGCAGTGGCTGCCTGCTTCCCTGACGCTGCTGAGTCCCACGGGAGGGGAGCTGGGCACCCTGAAGCCCCTCGTTACCAATTCGGGGGCCGCGGAGCAGAGTGTGACGACAGCCAGTGAGTCGTCAGTCGACGGCAATGGGGACCCTGGTGACGGCTGCTTTGTTGTTTTTTTTCCTCTTTGGAAGATGACTCAGTGTATCGGGAGCCGGGAGATGGAGCTCTCAGCAGAGTGGCCAGGATGTTCTGTCAACATGAAAGCTACAAAAACAGCTCGGGGCTCTGAGCTGATCCTTAGCCTGGGGTCATTTTCAGGGAGGGCTGGACAGAGAAGGCGGCCACCGCCCGGGCATCAGGATGGGAGCGACACCAGGTAACTCAGCAGGGCTCTGGGAACCCTTGCATTTTAGAGTCTGAAAAGAAAATAACAGCTGTATGTGTTATTAGATGAGCTTGGCAAATAGGGTCACTTTTTGAGTTCTTCCCACTAGTCCCAGATGACAGACATCTTCCCAGGGCCCAGAAAGCCCTTTGGGATTTTTCACCGTGGTTCTCTTTGTGATAGTCTTGCTGGTCATTGCCTTGAATGAAGGGCGATTCGCTTCTTGGGGTAGGGGTGGGCCAGGCCGACCTCAGTGAATGCGGGCGCACCTGTACCTTGGGAGAAGTGGCCGTGGTGGGGCTGTGGCGTCTTGAGAGTCCTCTGCCGGGCGGCGCTTCAAGATGGCGGATCCGCATCACCGTCACTAAGCTAAAGGCTGGCTCTTGGGCAGCCTGCGTCAGCCTCCCCTTTCCATATTGACCCAAATCAGAGCTTCTCTTCTCCCCTTCATCTTCTTCCTTTTCTTCTTAGGTGAAACAGTGGGCCTTGAGTTCTTGACCCTTTTAATTTTGTTTGCGTCATCATGGCGGCTGTGGGTTCTAGGCTTTTCTCCATACCGCAGCTTTGCGCTATAGGCGCGTGATCCCCCCGCCCTGCCCCGCCCCGTCCCGCCCCGTCCCGTCCCGTCCCGCCCCGCCCCGCCCCGCCCCGCCCCGCCCCGCCCCGCCCCGCCCCGCCCCACCCCACCCCACCTTCTTGCGACCGAGAGAGAAGATGCACCTCCACTGCCACTGAATGCGGACAAACCGTCCTCCCCTTTCTCTTCTCTACCCCCTCTGCTGGAGCGTGGGGCAGAGGGACAAACAATTGCTTATGAGGATGAGGGACAACTTGGCCGCAGCCCCCTCCCTCCTTTCACTGGGTACTATTTTTCAGTCTCATGCTTTCCCGCGGATGATGCTAGCAGTGACATTTGTCACTGAGCACCTCCTCTTCTCTCCAAGGACCTCCCAGGGTGACTCATTTGGGATCTCTGGTAGGAGTGGCTCCTGGGCCTTGGGAGCCAGAGCAGGGCAGGGAGATGTGACCGAGGTCACATGAGAGAGTTAAGCAGGGCAGGGGGTGGGAGCCAGCCATCCCCACTCAGAGTGCAAAGGCAGACACAGCCGCTTCATGTCATGTTTTGCACCCGAGTAGAGAGCAGCTTGACCTAAAAAGATTGTATGTATATGGACGTTGGAACCTTTCGTGTCTCATTTTCTTTGTCCCAAGCTGTGTATATGATAAGAGCCTGGATTTCGGGCTTCAGGCAGCTCTGTGGTCTCTCAGGTTCATTTTCTGAAAGAGGTGGTAAACAGACCCTCCTTCATCAGACCCTGCATCTTCTGTTACTGGCCTTTCTCCAGGACATAGGTCCCATGTCATTTTGCCCAACATTGTCTTGCGTCTTTCATTGGATGGCGGGCAACAGCTAAGGGTCATCATCCCAGAGCCACATACTAACCCAGATGGGCCCCTGGTTGGGATCTGCTGGATTCATTGCTTGGTTGGCTCTGTGAGCTGAGCCCACCTATCTTCCTTTCTCTTCTTCCTCATAGAGGACTCAGGAGAGTGCAGCTTGCTCTGTGAGTGGGTGACAACCTCTTGGCGACTCAGGCTCAGCTGAGGATGGTGCCAGTGTGCCGGAGACAGCCGTCATACTGCCGGATAGAGTGGCTCACTTGCATGTATTTGGAACAAAAAAAGGAGATGCCTGGCAGCCCCGCTCTCTGCAGTAAGTATTCATCTGCATTCTTTTACATTCCTTTATTTCTTCGAACATCAGAAATGGGTAGATGTTTATTGAGCCCAGCCACCTGCTATGCCTTCTCCATTCTTCTCCCACACACCCCACCCTTAGTCCTCCAGAAGAGAGGACTAGATTGATTTTCTCATGCTACTGGATAGCTGCAGAGAAGCTAGAATTTGCTGTTCAGCCCCCACACATCCCCCTCACATTTGGGAGAAGTTGATTTTCCCTAAAATGGAGCCAACAGCCTGTGTCCCTCAGTGTGGAGTGTTAATGGGCTGCCTGGAAGGACCCTGTGTGCCCTCACGGCCCCCAGCCGGGAAGTGAGGCTCCCCATTGGCTGGCAGTGGGAGGATGGTCCTTGCCAGCACCTAGCATGGTTCTCTGCCAAGTTCTAGCTCCACATCTCCAGGCTGGTAGGAACCTAGACTATATATAGCATTGTGCTAAGCAATTCTTATCAGACGTGTCTGCCCTCCCCTGTGGGAGTGGAGCACTTCTATCAGAGAACCAGAACCTAGAGAGCATGAGCCATCTCCAAGGGCCTTTTATTCTGGGAAGGGGTGTGTGTGTGTGTGTGTGTGTGTGTGTGTGTGTGTGTGTGTGTGTCTGTCTGTCTGGTTCAGGGCTGCTTACTTTCCTCCTGTATTGCAGATGCTGATAGATTGAAAGGTCGTGCTAGATGAAGGTGCTGATGTGGGATGAGGGCCAGGAAGGGCTAATAGCTCTGCGATGGATATTGAGCTTAGAGGGAGAGAAGCTAGGGGCATGTGACATGGCTGAGGGTACAGTTGAGCCCTGCCTCCGCTTTCTCTTCCTGGTTTCCTGTTTGCCATGCTTTGCCTAAGGATGTCTTTTGACCTCTCTCTTCCTTCTTTCGGACCTCTTGCATTCCCTGCCTTCCTCCACCACTTCCTCCTCCCTTTGATTTTCTTTAGGATATATGAGGGCAAACACAGTGACTGGCATCCTGGGTCTGTGTCTACTCTTCATCCTTACCCATTTGGGGTTTCTGGAGATCTGGCTCCAGTTGGGCAGAGAGGGCTCAGCTGTCCTCTGGAGGAGTTTTGGTGGTGGGTGAGCATGTTGTGTTGGCTGGTTCAGGGCAGGGTGGGTTGGATATTCCCCTCTTTCCTCTCATAGGTGCTGTTGAGCCACCAATTTTTGTGGTTTTGTGACCACAAGTGCTGACTGATGCGACATGACCCCAGTCTTGTCAGTGAATCATCACCAGGCTGCTTACTGGAAACTGGATGCAGCAAGGAAATAGGATTTAACCGCTCTCTGCCTCCCAGGTAAGTCCAGTGTGGGCTGCTCCCTCCAGCCTTCCCCCATCCTCCTTCCTTCCCACGAACACCATTTTCCTTATTCCGCCGGGGAATCCTCAGACGTCTCCATTCAGAATCTCCCAAACGATTGTTCTCTTTTTTGCATTCTTCTCCTTCTGGCTTTTCTGTGTGGGGTTAGTAACCAGCACAGGGTTGGGGGCAGAATGGGCAGCTGAAGTGGTCGGGCTGTGCGGACGTGTGGGAGATAGCTGGGTAGTGTTGCTGGGTGTGGCAGTTGGCAGAGCATTTGGGCCTCCCACAGTAATAGAAACTCTCTTTGGCTCCAGCATCCAGCAGGAGGTTCTGGGTTTAACCCCTCGGTAATCCTGGGAGCCTTCCTGGTGCCTGGGGATTCTCTCCCCTGTGTAGTCTCAGTGGATGGCCTGTCTTAACTCTAGATACATTTTGCCTTGAGGGGGCTTAGTCTAGGTTGGTGGTCTGGAGTTTGGACTGGGCTGAGCAGTGAGCTTTGGGACTCTCCCTAATTTTGGGGTTTCTTTGAATGAGCCACTTTCTTCCTCTAGGCCTTCATTACCTTTGCCTTAAAAAACAAAATCCCTGGTCCAGTAAGCCATTGCAAAGCATCTCTAGGAAGTTGACAAAGAAATGCTTTTCTTCTGCCTCACTTGCTGCCGATCACAGTAATAGCAATGGTGATTAAAAATGAAAAATGATGACGGCCTGCAGAATCAGGGAGGTCAGTGGCATCATTGATACAATTCACAAAGCAGACTCTCGGTGCCCACACATCACTAGGAAGTCTCTCTCCTATCGAGTAGATGACTACAGCATTCTTGGCCAGTAAAGCCAGTTGGAATTAGCCAACAGCAGATTGGTCTGGGCTCTAAAGATAAAAGGAATTATGTTGGGTAATTTTCGGAGGTACCTATGGGATCCTACCTCTGGCCACACAGTGGTCGCCTCTCTCTGCTCATATGTTTCGGTGGGGGTGGGGGGTTCCTCTTCCCCATGCTGCTCCCGTTGCTATCCAGGGAAGATTGGCCAATTCTGCTTCCTGTTATTTCTTCTTCTCCTCTGTCCATTTGAGGTGAGTCTCTAGGTTGGCTGTGAACAGCCTGAGGAACCCAGGGCTGTTTGGAAGAATCTGATGTCTCTTCCTTCAAGGACCCTGACAGGTCTCAGCCCTCCAGCAGTACTGCAGTGAGGGATGGCAGGGGGTGTTGGAGTGGAGAGATATCGACTTGGGTGCAGCTGGGGAGACTAAAAGGAGTGAGCCAAGTCCCTCAAGAAGTGTTGGCTAGAGTCTGGCCAGCCCTGGCTGTAGGGCTGGAGCCAGACGTAGCTGCTGGCTGTGCTTGGGAGTCTCAGCCCTCATATGTGCAGTGTGTCCCTGGGCATGGCTCTTCGTGATCCCCACTCCCACGAATAGCCCTGTCCTTGGTTAGATTGGGAAAACCAGGGTGGGAAGTAAAGGGGAGGTTGGTTTTGCTCGTGGTCATGCAGTTATCTCTCTGGCCTCTGATGTTTCCAGAATTGGGATTGGTGCTTCCCTGCTGATTTTCCTATTTTTGTCCCTCATCTGGTTCTTTTCCTCCTTGCTCACCAGCCTGGGTTCTACACACATGACATGGGGCATTGTGTGTTCCCAATGAGGATAGCAGAACAGTTGGTATCTCCTGAGAGAGGGGCCAGCATATCTGGCACTTTTTTCTTGACCTTTGAATTTCTGAGGTCTGGGAGTCAGGAGGCAGCATGGGGCCTCTCCATCCGGGATCCAGCAGAGGTTAACAGAGTTGGTGGCTCTGGAGCTGAGGTGGTGTGGCTTGGCTGGGAGTTGTGGGGGAGAGGCCCTGCCAGGGGCCCTGATTGGTCAGTACCTTCTCTATTCCATTGAATCCTGGTCCGGTCAGCTCTGTGAATTGTTTAATGCATATCTTGGCTCTGTCCCCTGGCTCGAGTGTCCCTAAGGCTGCAGCCACAGCTTTAGAGAGGATCTGTACCTTGTGCTGGTCACTTTTTTTGGGCGTGTTACCTCCCTCTGAGATATGTAAGAGATACCACCCTTTCCCACCAGCCGGCTGTCTGTGGGAGGCCCTCATTTTGCTTTGCTTTTCTGAGACTTGGAGTGACTGTGAGGAAAGCATGGACTGAGTTTGCTTTCTTGCTGGTTCCTTCCACAAGAGCTGCTCATGGGCTGATAAAGCCAGAGAACACCTCCAGGGCCCCATGGCCTGTGCGGAGCCTGGTACCATAGTGTCAAGCCTACAGGGATGGACTGGGGACATGGGGGCAGATAGAGCCACGTGGGGAGGTGGTATGTGTGGTTAGATCACAGGAGCAAGTCCAGGAGGGTGTGGGAGGACAAGTCCAGTGCTCAGCCAGGGCTGCCTGTCATGGCCCAGGATGGATGTGTGCATCTCCTGTGAAGGATTTGCGTCTGAGTGCCTGGTACTGAAGGTAGGATGGTGCCCCGATCAGGGTCTATAATGAGGCATGAAGGTATGAGATGGGCATCAGAGTTGTTGGTCCAAGGGAAACTGACCTTTTTAAAGGGCTCTCCTCTCCTTATCTGATTTCATCCTCAGAACAACCATATGACATAGGGATCACTTCCCTTTTATAGTTAAAGAAACAGATTAAGTGACTTAACCCAAGGTTATGCATTTGGTAAGTGAGGTTGTTGAGATTTAAATGCATGCACTTCTTATTCCAAAGCCTCTACGTTATCTTTACTCTTTTGGGCTGAAGTCAGACATTTTTGTGAACTAAGATTCTCAGAGGACTGATGTGAACCAGAGTGAAAAGGCAGACACCCGAAGGAACTTTCCAGTCACTGGGGACGGTTGTGCCGCATTCCTTTAGGGGGAGGCAGGGCAGACCCAAATGCCCTTTGGTAGCCATGGACAGGCAGAGCTGAGTAAGGCCAGTACATGGCGTCTGCTGCTGTGTACGGAGCCTCTGCTATGTGCCAGGGACTGTGCCAGGCGCTAGAGATACAGAACTTGACAAAGCCAACTTTCCACTTTCATGGGGCATACATTCTAGTGTGGAGAGACACCGCTAATAATGATTTTTAAAAAGAATTTAAAAATGTACAGGGTAGACATATATGGAGATTGTGTGGGGATGAAAAGGGGGACCCCCCACACACATAAGGAGGAGAATTCAGATGATGGTCAGAGGGTTCTAGAGACTTAGGACCTCAGCCATCTGAAGCCACATCAATTGAGCTTTCCTTCAGGGAGTTAGGACTGACACAAACTAACCCCCTCTTTTTTCCTAATAACTTGGGAAATCCATCCAAGGTCCCCATGGCTTACAGGAACTTGTCGTGAGTCAGGGATCAAGGTGGAGTAGATGTCAAGCCTTTGGTCTCCGGCAGACTGGTTCTCTCCTGTCTGCCATGGTTGCTGTTGGCCTTCTGCCTCACACCCTCCCAGGCACCAGCTGACTTCTTTCCTCAGCCTGGTCACTGTGCCCCACACTTGTCCATGCAGCACAGGGAAACGTGCAGGTTAGGTCTTTGCCGAGCCATTGGTCAAATGTTCCTGCAGGAGGCTGGTTCTGAACTCAGCCTGTCCTGCCAGAACGAGCCGTTCCCAGAGCTAATCGTCTCACGATAGGGAAGGGATGGGCACCAGGCATAGAGAAGTGACCTGTGCCAGATGCTTGGTTGAGCTGTGTCTTGAGAGGCGGAGGCAGGTTGGTGGTGCTGGGGACAGGGCAGGCATGTGTCATGTGTTCAGCGCATGTAGCTCCAGGGCTCGGGACTTGTTTACTTGGTGGAAGAGGCAGCGGACCTGCGGAGTCAGGCCATGTGATTGTTGGCTCTTTGGCTGATCATGGACAGCTGACCCGCCGGACTGCACACACTGCCATCTGCTGCCAGGGGTCTGAAGTTGCACAGGGATGAGGTAGTGTAGTTGGGGGTGCTCAGGGAGGAGGAGGGTCAGGAAAGTGGGGTTTGTGTTGCTCTGTGTTGAGTCAGCCGACCCTGATTCTGGTCCTAGCTCTTGTTGGTAAAAACTCACTCACTTTCCTCCTTTCAGCTCCAGTTTCATTATCTATGAAATGAGGGGATGGAACCAGAATCTCTTTGGAGGTTCCAGCTGTATCCTGGGGCCTCCCTGAATGTTCATGGAGATGTTCCTTAGCCAGTAATTCAAGATGAGGAAAACTAGGCCCAGGTTTCCACAAGAGAAGGGGAGGGATCTTGATGACCTGTCTCAGAGCGGCTGAAGTGGTACTGTTGGAATTAGGGTGGGTGGGTGGGAGGAGGTAGTTTTTAAAGACCTCCCAGAAGTGGAAGCAGAGGGCTGGAGGTTTCGTGAAGGTGTTGATGAGGATCCACCGGGTGGTAGGGGACATGGCTACGCGCTTCCCCCGGGAGGCTTGTTGGAGATGGGTTTATGTGGGAGCTGCTGGGGGTGCCTGCTGTCCTGCAAGGGGCTGACCCAAGGGACCCTGCTCTAGGAAAGATGCTCCGTCCTGTCTGGCCCTAAACCCTGGAGAGAGAATGCAGCTGTGGTTTGAGGGAGGGTCTGTGCCCCTTGCTGTCAGGAAGTTTTCCTTTATATTTAGCCTTCTCTTTTCATGTATTTTTTGAGGCCCTCGACTAAAAAATTAAATTTAATTTTAAAAAATAACAATGAAAAAAATAAAAAATAAACAAAAATATCTCAGAGCCACTGGTTCCATTTTGGCTTTTTAGTCTTGAGTCACTCTTAAAAAGATAGCAAAATAAAACACATGCAGGAAAGCCGAAGGTCCCAGGCCCAGCCAGATGGGGGCTAGGAGTGGCTGGGACTCTGGCCTAGCTTCTCCATGGCAGCGTTAGTCCCAGACGTACACCACTTCTGCAAGGCTGTGTGGGTAGGAGCCCCTGGGGCTGAGGGGGCACATTGTGCAATCTGCTAAGCAGAATGTAGAGTTTTAAAATAGCTACCTTTCTCCAAGACACTATCTGCTTGCCGCTTTGTGGGATGTTTACCTGGGATTAATAATAGCTGAGTGCCACCCCACTGCCAGTATGGAATAGCAAACAGCGATCTGGGCTAGGACTCAGGCAGGAGAGGAATGGAGTAATAACCATCGTATCAGCTCACATAGTTCTTTTCATACTTGCTGGCTCATTTGGTCCTCACACAACCCTGAGAGGGTAGGTGGTCTTATCCTTGTCGTTGGTAAAACTGAACCTGAGAGTCAATCCTGCCAAGATCTGACTGCTTGTAGCCGCTTCTCGTGGGTCTCCCATCTAGGTCCTCTGACTTCAGCTGTTATTTCTCTGGGTTCTGACTAGTGGGGCAGGGACAGGAGTAGGGGAGTGGAGTCTTTGGCAGTTTCCTTAATTTCTGAAGGCCTTAGAGGGCCTAGAGATGCCTTTTCTATGTGTTGAATGGGAAACGGAACCTCAGCATGTCCAGGTTCTCCAACTCTCTGATTCTTCAGACTTCTTGGAGCTCTTGTGAGAACTGGCTTGCACTTTTTGGCTGGGAAGCCAGCCACTCACCATGTGTTCTTGGAGAGGTTTCCTGTATTTGGAAGCTTCTGGAATATGTGATGCATCAAACCACTGTGACACATCTGTATGGCACCTCATGCCTATGCACACAGGCATGCTTCTGCTGAGTGCAGCTCACTTAGAGATGAGGCCCAGTGTAGGGTTTTTGAAATTTTTCCAACACATTTGTAAGAGATGCCCTGAGCCTTGCCCAGCATGCATGTTGTGTGTATGCTACCTGTTTGCTGGCTAATGTACAGCGCCTGCTGGAAGCCTTGGCTAATGTACAATGTAAAGTAAGGGACTAGAAACACTGGCTTTAGTTCTGAGTGTCTGCTTCATGATTGACTTGAAAAAGTAGGGCTTACCCACAGAGAGAAAGGTGGGTAAGAGAACTCGTGGGTGTCAGTTTTCCTTAAAGGCAGAGCATAATCCCCCACTCTTTATAAGGGCTGGTAAGGCAGAGTATTGGACAGCAGGACTTCTTGGCCAGTTAGCCCTCTTGAGTGACCTTTGTTTAAATAGACCCAGAACTTGTATGAAGGAGGAAATAATGGTTTATCTTTATTTACAGCGGATTTAGCCATGATGGTTTAGGCTTTTTCTGGGGGTATTCCTTTAGGACAGTTGAGGTTGGACAGGGGCAGCATGCATATGTGTCTCTAAATGTCTGTCCTTTGGTATTTCCTGAATGCATCCTTGGCTCATACTGAAACCCTGTGATGGGGAATCCACAGCGGAATTGTTTTAGTGGATAAAGCCTTCTGTAGCTTCATGTGTGAAGATTTGTCATGTTGGATCCAGTTCATTCTGTCCACTTGAAGGATGGAAAAGAGAGTGGGCAGAACTTGCAGCAAGGAGAGTGATTTGGGCTAGACTTCTGGGAGAACTGTGCATCACCTCTGCTGAGGGTTCCTGAGGAAAGATGAAGCCTCTTTATTTGAGGTAGGAGACTCGGTGTCCTCCACAGGATCCTCCCAGTCCCAAGTCTGTGGCACTTTGAGACAGTCCCTGGAACAGCATGAGGTTTGGGTGCCAGGATCTAGAGCAGGCATTTCTCTCCATCTTTCCCATCTGTCTTCAAGACAGGCCCAAGCTGGATGCAATTGAGGGGATGCATGGGCAGGGTACACCAATGTGGTCATCGAATCTGGAACTTTGACCTTGTTTCCCTTTGCAGAGAGAACTTCTGGCACTGATCTTATAGGAACTGGTGTTATTTGCATATAAAAAAAGAGAAAGGCATGTTGTCCCTCATCTTTTCCAGGAAAGAGTGCTGAGCTGCTCTAATCCTATGGTGGGGAGGGAGGAGGGCCGTGTAGAGGACGCAAGGCCAGACATGGTTTGCTGGGAAGAAGGTAGGAGGTGGGAGAGGAACATCCCAGGGCAGGCCCACAACTCTGGGAGCCACAGACATTGCCTGCTATACTAAAGGCAAAGGGATGTGTTCAAATAGGCCTACTATTTAGCGGTAACCCACAGTCTGAAATAAATCAGTTAATGGCTAAATGAGAGTTGTATTAAATATGGAAAATCATATTTTTTGTGTGTCATCACCACCTACAGATTTAGCATCAACAGGCCTGAAAGGCTGAGGATGCTGAAATGGGCCCTGTCCGTAAGATCATGCTTATTTTATAATGACTTTTTGTCTCTTTTCATTACTATTTCCCACTCTTATTCCTTAGGTCTACGTGAATATTTATTTATGCAGTTGTGTTATTTCCTTGGGGTACAGTTCTTCCAGTGTCATTGGCATCAATGAATATGTGACTTTGATTTCAAGTGTAAACAAACCACTGGTTCACGGCAGGGACAAGCCATCTCTGAGACAAGGGCTCCAGCAGCTGCCTACAGATGCCCTTCCCCCAATAGCCCTGGACTGTTTCGGCCAGACGCCTGAGACGAGAGTCAAGGGTGTTCTTGCAGGGACCTGCCCAACGCTATGTCATGTGTCCTGCCTGGAGGGTGGTGCTCACACATGCATCTTCCAGCCTTATTAGCTGGTACTGCTTTTCAGCTTGACCCGAGGAGTGGTATTGGAAGTTTGAGACCGTACATCCCTTGCTAGGTGAGAAGGGGGTCAGAGAGGTCAGGCACAGACAGAGAAGGGAACGCAGGCTCCTGGCCACTAGCCTCTCTCAAGACAGGTGAACTTTGTGTTAAGCGAACTCATTTAATATTTTGGGCCTAATAGAAGTTATTTGTATTTTCTCTCCTCTCTTTTCCCTCCTCTCTCTCACTCACCCTCCCCCCACTCCCCAGCCTCCAAAGAATTTAATCTGCTGGACAACAAACAATACTGTTATAAAACTTTGAAAACAAGAGGGCGCGGCCTCCCTGACAAGGAGAAGGGCATGTTGGGTAACGGCCTGAGGGAGCGTGCCAGGCCTGAGATGGAGCCGGGCGAGAGCCCAGTTGGCTGGGTACCTGGGCGCCTGCCCCTGCATAGCCCACTAGCCGCGCCATCCCCAGGCCAGAGGGGAAGGAACCAAAACAAAATGGGGGGCAGAGAAACGCTTGAAAAGGGAAGTTGCACATGTTCCCCTCTCTCTGATCTGATGGGAATGCACTAGACTGTGAAACTTCCTCCTCCACCTCTTCTCCCGAGTCCCTCCCTCCCTCTTACCCTCCTTCCTCCTCTCTCCTCCCTCCTTTCTCCTCCTTCCTCCTCCTGCTACTCACTGTTCTTGAGTCTGGCAGACAGAGGTCCTGATAGCAGAATGAGGCTGGAATAGCACCATAGGTGCAGCTACCAGCTGGGCCAGCCAAAGAGGAAGGAGAGAAAGTGGGCTTGCAGTTGGCTTTGGATTCAAATCTACCCTCTGTCTGGCCCAGCCTCCCTCCATTCTATTAGGGAAGTGGAACTACATCACGCCACAGGGTGTGCCCAGTCCATGTGTGTGGACCAGGTGTGTGCCCAGGTACTGGGGAGAACTGCCACTCAGAGATTAGTTCAGGAAGCACCCTGGGCTTCCTGGTGCCCCCCTTGGGCTGTGCTCTGCTCTGGGGAGAGTGTTTGACTTGTTGAAATGCTCTCTCCTTTGAGATGCTGTGCTCTCCCTCCAGGGAGGAGCAGAGGCTGTGCTGCAAGAGGCTGGGGCATGTCTCTGGAGGAGCTCTTGGGAACAGGAACGTGCTTCTCCCAGCGAGAGCAGCCATGCCGTCTTGTGAGTGTGGTGCCTGGTAGGATACTGCATCTGTTAGTTACTTCCCAGTGGCTGAAGGAAGTGGTCACCAGCTCTGCCTGGGGGAGGTGGGGGAGCTGGGCTTTGGGGCGTCTCCCTCCCTACCTCCAGAGTTAGGTTTCACCTGAGACTGTGGTTTCACTTTTGACTCCATCTTCACTGAGTCAAGCAGATGATTTAGGAATGACCAGGGAGCAGCATTGGTGGTTTGCCTTTGGATCTGCATTGGTTTGGACCCATGAACTCTGTGGTGGGCATTGTGTTTGTGTAATAGACCATTGGTATGCTCATTTTTCCTCTTGCAGAAAGCACTAGCTTTCTTGAAAGCAGTTCAGGGACATGCCCATCCTTCTGTGCCAGAGCTGAGCCCTTCTACTGGGGGAACATGGAGACACGCGAGCTCCAGTCTTCATTCCACTCCTCCTCCTTCCCTTTGCCCTCCACTGTCTCCTGCTGTCCCCCCAGCTCATCCCAGGGGCAGGGTAACCTTGGTGCATCCTCCCATCCAGCCAGCAGTCCCGACCCAGGGCCCCCGTGCCTGGACTGAGTCTGGGGTTTATGTCAGTAGTGTTAAGGGAGGGATGGAAAACTGAACTTTTAGGAGTGCAGCTGCCTAGGAACATAGACCTCCATACCTCTGACGCAGGGGAAACCAGAAAAACCGATGCTGGGTCCACGTAGGCTTGGAAGGCTGTTACTTTTTGCCTTCTTACCTGAATAGGAATTTGAGGGGCACTGTGGGTTTGGAGGATGTGATTCCCACACTGGGGCTCAGGGCCTGGGAAATGCAGTGGTCCCTGGGTTCTGAGTCCTCCTTTGAAGGCCACCCTGCCAGAAAGGAAGAGCCTGATGGAGGTTTCTGGGGACTTTGGGCCAGCCGGTAACTCCATGCTCCCTCTGCTCCACCCTTGGCCCCTCATGTGTATACCATTCCTTTTATCACCCTTCCCTCTGATTCACAGCCCCCACCCTGACAGCTAAAGACAGAATGCCCAGGCTGCTGCCTAGAATGACAGGAAGCTGGACTGCCCTTTCAGTTTATACATGCAATGGCCTGGGACTGTCTCTTGAGGGCAAGACATTCCCCTTTTACAAAAGAGCCTTCCCCAGGCCCCTCTCTCACCAAGATGAGCTCTTCCTTGCTGCCAGGAGCCCTGAAATCAGCATTCCCAGAGGAAAGAAGATGGCCATCTGGGCTTGGCTTCCGGCTCCCCCCATCTGGCTGGAACACACATCAGTCACGTAAGTAGCTGTGACTCAGCACCCAGCACTGCCTTGGCAGAACCTTCCCACGTTCTGGATTTGCACACACTGTGGTAGCGCAGCACAAGCAAGCAGGGTTAGGTAACTGGGGACCAGTGTCTGTTTGTTCAGTGGGTTTGCCTATGGATTTCAGAAAGAAGGATTCCCTCACCTTCCCATTTTCCTCCCATGTTATTTTTTAGGTACCATGCTAGGCTTTAAAGACAAAGCATCATTTATAGAATGAAGTAGAAGCTGTCTTTGCAGTCTCCAAACTATTTTTAACCAACAGCCTATAGATGGTATTTAACCCTCAGGTGTGTTTGGCCTGCACGGGTTTTTGTTTTTGTTTGAGACAGGGTTTCACTCTGTAGCCCAGGCTGGAGTGCAGTGGCACGATATCAGCTTGCTGCAACCTCTGCCTCCCGGGCTCGAGCAGTTCTCATGCCTCAGCCTCCTGAGTAGCTGGGACTACAGGTGCCACCACACCTGGCTAGGGTTATTTTAATGTATCTGATTTTGCATGCATTTAGACAAAATATGGCCTCTCCAGTTCACTGTATTTCTGCTGCATGCTGTTGCTGCTTCTCTGTCTCAGGTTTCCTGCCCAAGCCCTCCGAGCATTTGAATGTGCTGTGAGCAGCCTACCTCAGCCTCCTCTCTTTACACATGAAGACACTGAGGCCCATTCAGGGCAAGTGGCAGGTCCCTGTTCTCAGAGTTGGGGCCAAGCAGGTATTAAAACCATTGTGTTCTGATTCACTGTGTGCCCAAGCAGATTAATGCCCTGGTGTGAGGTCGAGAAGCCTCCAGGTAGAATGTGGGGACAGAAGTGGACCAGGCTAGAGTATAGCTCCCACACCTTTCCCATGCGTGGCAGCACTCGTAAGACTGACATGCCCACCCTTCTGGATGGGTGGTTTTCCTCCCCAGACAGCCCTGCCAACCCTTTCACCTTCAGCCAGTTTGTTTGGAGTCATTAGGCTGAGGTGGGTAAAACCCATCACCCTCCTTGGATGGCAGAGCTCTCAGCAGGCTGGGATTTTCATGGGCTGCCTTCTTACAGGTCTAGGTGGCCTTCAGGCATGGTGCCAGGGAAAGCAAGCCCCTTCCAGCCCTTACCAAACTAACTGGCTGCTTCCTAGTAGGGAACAGCCACCAGCTTGTTTCAGCGAAGAGTCATTGCTCAGCTGATTCTGAGAGGAGAAAACTGGTTCTGTTGGGAGGGCTGAGACCTGAAGGACCCCTTTTATCCAGTGGAATTGGAAAGGCAAAGGATTTCAATACTAACATGATTTTTTTCTCCACTTCTTTTAGAGTGTTTAATTAAAGTGATGCATTGTTAATGGCTTCTTATCTCTTCTTCCAGAGAGTAAAGAGTTAAATTTTAGAATCCAGGAGTGGGGACCCAGACTGTGGCTTCTGTTAACTCCCTCAGTGGCAGTGGCGTCCTGCTATGCACAGCCCCTCTGCTGTACTCCGAATGGTCCCTTACGGGTAGCAGGAGAGACATTAAATAATCACACTGATGACCAAGTGAGATAAGTGGTTTTTGAAGGAAAGAACTTGAGGCTGGCGAGGACCACTTAACCTTCTAGCAAGGGCTGGACTCAGGGAGGCTTTCCTGAGCTGCGGGGAGGATGACAGGTTCCCTGGAGTGGTGGTGGGTGGGGGCGGGGCTGAGGGGTGGTAGCCAAGGGAGGGTGAAGGAGAGTATTCCAGAAGAGACAACAGCTTAGGCAGGCAGGACCTCGCCATGGAGGAAGGTGCTTTCTGATCACTGCGGGACACCTGTGTGATAGCTCATAGGGAGGGGGTACTGGTAACTAAAAGTTGATAAGGAAGAGTGGCTAAAATGAAAAGCAGAAAAGTGAGAATCTCATCAAATCCCCTCATTTGACAGGATTTGGACTCCCAGTAGTAACTGTCCTTAAACACTCACTCCTGACCTTACAACCCTGGCTGTTACCTGGTTAACAAGCCCCAGGTGTTGGCTACAGGTGTCATCACTGAGAGCCCTTGTGTGCAGATCTGCCCCAGCTCTCCCACCTGTGACTGAGGCTAGCAAGTCCCCCGTGGGCTGTAGAGCCTAGCGCTGGTGTCAGAATCGCTTGTTGCAGGTTCATCTTCAGTGTCTTTCCCACAGCCACATGCTGGGGAAAGACGGCAAAGGCGCTAGAGGAGCAGGAGAACAAAGCAAGCTGCCCCAGACCACCCGGCTTTCGCAGAACCCAGATGATGCTCCTGTCTCCCCCTAAGTATAACGTGTTATGTAGTCAGTATGATCCCATTCAGTGCAGAAGTATCGCCTAGGAATTTCCTGCCCCACCCACCCTGTTTTGTTCTTAATGAAGTTCAAGAACAAAATGAGATGATAGTCAAGTTATGGAGCAGGCTGCAGTGGATACAAGGGCAGAAACACAGTCTTTGGAGTTAGACCTGGGATCTGCATTGATTGGTTGTGTGACTGCAGACAAGTTATTTAGCCTCATTAAGGATGAATTTCTTCGCAAAAATTGGAATAATACCTGCCCCATACGACTGTTGTGAGAATTAAACACCGCAACTTTTGATGTTCAAATTCTATTTCTTCTCCTTCTAGCAACACATACTGTTAGTGCCAGGAACCATAAAAATTATAAGGCTGTATCTAGAGGCCTGAAAGGAAGCTAAAATATACAGTGTCTACTCTGTCTCTTTTCTCTTGGTTATGGTATCAGAGGAAATACACATATTTTCTTAGCTTCAAACCACCAAAAAAGATGATGCAGTAAGGAGATGGGAAATCTAATTTGGAATACAGTGTGCAAATCTTATTTTCAAGCAGACTTTGAAAATAAAACTCAATTCTTACGTTAGAGGATTATCTGCTTAATACAATTATAGGGTACCAGTTTTTGAAGTCACATCGGGGTTAAATAAGATTGCAGGTTCATGGGGTCATATTTGAATGTTCTGATACTTACATATGGGGTGGGAAGGAGGAATGCATGCTTTTCTCAAGTTAAGACACATAAAAGAGTTGTCCTGGCCCAGGTGAGACTCGCCTTTGTGTAGCAGCTGGAGCTTCATTCCACAGGCAGATAGGGTGCTTGTGTCCTGATGAAGTAAGAGAATATATCTGGAAACACTTTGTGTACTGTGAAATACTATACAAATGCAGGGCAGTACAAATGTAAATATTAATGTATTTTAGTAATAATTTTAGCTTTTATTTCATCATATATAATAATTTGTAGTGACTGGTGTGAAGTTAAATAGAATTAACCTAGAATTAATGAGTTTTGTATTGCTCTCATCTATTTGAAGCATCAGCTGTGCCTTTCATGTTGCCTTGTGCAGCCCTGTGTAACCTCCTCTGTGCCTTTCCCATGGAGCACTGTGTCATATCACAAGTAGAACTACAAGAAGATATTTCTCCTCAGGGCAGAGGCTGGGTCTTCCGATTGAATCTCCCTTCTTTCTTCATTGAGATCCTCTTCTTCTGGAAGCTGGTTTCACATGGTGGCTTAGATTTTTCCATCTTTGTATCTAGCACCATTTGAAATCAGTGTTTTAGGAGTAAGAATTGCAGCACAGCCAAGGGTGGACTGCAGAGGAACTGCTGCTCATGGAACTGGCTCCTCTCCTCTTGCCACTTGAGTCTGTTCGAGAAGTCCAGGGAAGAACTTGAAGAGCAAAATACACTCTTGAGTTTGTTGGGTTTTGGGAGAGGTGACAGTAGAGAAGGGGGTTGTGTTTAAAATAAACACAGTGGCTTGAGCAGGGGCAGAGGTTGTGATGCTATTTCTGTTGACTCCTAGCAGCCATCACCAGCATGAATGTGTTCGTAGGGCCTTTGAGTGTGGCGATTGTCATATTCTGTTGGATAACAATGTATTGGGTGTCGATTGTCATGGGGCAGGGGAGAGGGCAGTACACCTGGAGGACCATTTTGTCCACATCGACACCATCAGTCTGCTCTTAGAGGATGCCCTGGAGTATTCGGCGTTGATTGCGGGGCACCCGAAATCAGACTTGCCACCTGGACTGTCGAGGTGCAGACCCTGGGAGCACCACTGGCCCATCTCTTACACAGGCTGACCGATTTCTCCTGGTGTTCAGAGTCTGTTTTTGTCTAGCACCATTTGAAATCGGTTATGATGTAGGGGGAAAAGCAGCAGCCTCGAAGCCTCATGCCAACTCTGGGCAGCAGCAGCCTGTGGTTTCCTGGAAGATGGATGGGCAGAGAATAGGGAAGGAAGATCATGCTTTTCCCTACTAACTTCTGTAACTGCATGTATGATACATTATTGCAGAGGTAAGAGATAGTTTAATGGATTTTTAAAAACAAATTACTATAATTTATCTGATGTTCTCTAGTTGCATTTTGCTGAAATGTAGTGCTGTTCTAAATTCTGTAAATTGATTGCTGTTGAATTATCTTTCTGTTGAGAAGAGTCTATTCATGCATCCTGACCTTAATAAATACTATGTTCAGTTTATCATGTCTGTGTTTTTCATCTATTATTTCCCATTCATAATTCTGTGATGATAAGAAGTGGGTCCTGAAAAATTAATTGGCTGTGCAGATCTTGCCTACTTCATAAAGAATTTGAAGTAGGTTACAGCCAGCCAGACATTAAAAATGAAGCCCATTAAGAGAAGAATGAAATTCTATGAGCCAAGAAATAAAATGAGAGAAAAGATTAGGGAAGAGAAGAAATGTTGAAGATCAAGGCTGAGGGATGCTCCCTACTGAATGGGAAAACTCCTTAGTTCCACATGGGCTGTAGACACAGCCCTTCTGCCAGCAACTGTTCCTGCAAGGAACTGGTGCTCAACTAAACATACTGTCACATGGTTCCTTGAAGGGGCACAGCACTGATTTCACTTGCATTATAAAAGATTGAGTGGTGCTTTTGACTATTAGTTTATGTCAACACTTCAAAACAAGATGAGCCAGTTTTTTTTTGTTTTTTTTTTTTGTTTGTTTGTTTGTTTTAGACGGAGTCTCACCCTGTCACCCAGGCTGGAGTGCAATGGCACTGTCCCCGCTCACTGCAACCTCCGCCTCCCGGGTTCAAGCAATTCTGCCTCAGCCTTCCGAGTAGCTGGGATTACAGGCGTGGCACCTCCACGCCCAGCTAATTTCTGTATTTTGTAGTAGAGACGGGGTTTCATCATGTTGGCCAGGCTTGTCTCGAACTGCTGACCCCGTGATCCACCCACCTCAGCCTCCCAAAGTGCTGGGATTACAGGCGTGAACCACCTCGCCTGGCCCAGTGAGCCAGTTTTGTAAAGCTATTCAGAGATTAGCCAGATTTGATTTGATAGGGGATCAAGCTTGTAGGATCTTCAGGAAGGCGGGCTGTGGCCCCTTGATCAGGCTTTTTGCACAGGAGGTGCATGACTATGAACTACCCTCAGTAGAACTCTTTTAAGCCAGTGGCTTGCAATAAATGATGGCAAATCAGCCACCTAGGAAGCCATTTCTAAGCCCAACCCCCTGCCACAGTCTTCCTCTAGATGGCTGCCCTGCCCAGTGGGCTGAGAGTGGGGGGCGGAAGTAGCATTTGCTGGGAAGACTTGCCAGTACATATGTTGCACCCCCTCACTGCAGCTGCAGTGCTATTTCAGGCTGTTGATGGAAGAACCCATGTTCTAATCCCCAGGATGTGGTGGGAAGACCCTAAGTGGTGGTGTTAGTTAAGACCCTAAGTTATATTGTTTTGTTCACTTCCCACTGAGATAGGCTACAATAGTATTAAATACCTATAGGTCAGACATTTTTGGGGTCTGTTGTACTACCTACCAATTAAACAGTTTTTGATCCGCCCACCACGCTCAAAGCTCCAGCCTAGGTGTTGCAAATACAGACGACAGATTTTTGCTCTCAGGAGGCCCTGATTCCAGTCCTCAAACGAGTAAGTGTGAAATTGAGTGCAGCATTAAAGCACAAAAACAATGATTTGAGACGTCTTTTCTATAAAAGAAGTTTATAGCACTCTCATTGAATGCTTAAATAGTGCCACACTGCTAAGTCGTGAGAAGCAAAATGTAACTGCGGTGCCTCAAACAGGATTATTTTGTTTTATTCATTTGGATGCGGACAGCTCTTTATCTAAAATTGCCATTCTGAGGTGGTTTTGCACAATAAATTGGTAATTATGTAGACTGTTTCTTCCAGAGACAGCATCTTGAATCGGGTTTATGAAGCCATGCTATCAACCTAGGTAGAAAATGCTTTGTAGGACATGGGTCCTGCTTATCTAAATTTTACCAGATTTTATTAGCTGTAAATTTATAAGCGGGTCTTGGTGAATAGATAATGAAAAAAATATTGAGTGGGGAGGCTTATTAGACTGACAGCACCTTCAAGACTCATGCAAGTTGGACTGGAAAATCCCACCTGTGGAAGTAAAACACTGATGAGTCCTTAATAAATATGGATGAGACAAGTCAAATATTTGGCCAATTTAGGTGAAACAGAAATAAGTCTAGAACTGGACAATTATTTGTGTAACATACTGGCCCAGACCTTCACTTTGAGAAGCTGGTGTGTAGTTTCAGGAGAGTACCTGGCAGACTAGTGTGTCCATACTTCGATGGAGCTTGAGAGTTTTCCTTGAACACAAAAGTTGTATTTTTGAGTTTATTCTAGTATGATGGTGCCCTACCCTATCTTCCTATTCAGTTCACCCAAAGAGCCTTTAAATTAGTGTTCCCTTGGTCCCATCCCTACAGTCTCTGGTTTTGCTGGTCTGGGAATGGGTCTGGACATCACTGTTGTTTTAAAGTTGAGAGCCTCTCTTCTGTGGTCTTGTTCCTAAAACGCTTTACTACTCACTGTGGTCTGAGGGCCCCCAGCACTGGTGTGTTAGTTTCCTGTGGCTGCCCTAAAAAATTACCACAAACATGGTGTCTTAAAACAACACACATTTGTACAGTTACAGATTCCAGAAGCCTGCAATCAGCTCACTGGACTGCAAGGGCCACCCGCCCTCTCAGAAGCGCCGGGAGAGAACAGGTTTTCTTGCCTTCTTCAGCTGCTAGAGCTGCGTTCTTTGGCTTGCACCCCCTTCCTCTGTCTTCCAAGCCAGCGGGGCAGTCTTTTGCTTCAGTGGCCATGTTGTCTTCTGGCACAGTCACATCTCCCCCTGCCTCCCTCTTAGAAGGACCCTTGTGGTTACATTTAGGGCCCCCACCTGGATAATCCAGGATAATCTCCCTATTTCAATTTTCTTAATCTCATCTGTAAAGACCCTTTTGCCATATAAAGTAACATTCACAGGTTCCAGGTATTAGGACTTGGATATCTTTAGAGGCCATCATACAGCCCACCACAAACAGCTCCTTAGGCACTCATTAGAAATGCAGAACCTCAGGCCCCAACCGATACCTTTTGAATCTTCTGATTCTAATTTAAGAAGATCACCATGTAACTCACTAGCACACTAAGACTTGAGAAGCACGATGCTATGGGAACCTAACCAAAGAATTCTCAAGTCCCAACTTAAATACAAATTTACAGAGTATTTTTCCTAGGAACGCTTTCAGGTGGAGGAGATTAATCAGACGATAGATAATTTTCCTGAACACCATTCTGAAGTGCTTCTCTAAGCATTTGTTCCTGAATTCTCTCTCAATGAAGCCACAAGCCCCAAACACCAGGATTACTGTTTACAGGGGTTCCTGTTTACAGTAGTTTAGCACAGGGTTTGCCACACTGCAGCATATTATTATAGTTTAGTTTTGTAAAAAGCTACATGAGAGAGGTAAATCTTATAAATGGAGGTGGAGTCTCCTAACACCAGTTTTACCACCTCTGTACAGGTTTCCCTGGGCTATGTACTATCGAATCAGGAATCAGGAAGGGCGGCTTTTTCAAATGTTATCTATACTTTTGGCAATTTGTTCAAACGTTCTGCTGGTATGTGAGAGGGAAGGAAAAATTGTTTATTGACCACAGATCCACAATATTATACTTCTCCTATACTTAAGCAATAAGGGACAGCATTTAAAACTCTTTTAAAAATGTTAATCTTGGCTGGGCACAGTGGCTCATGCCTGGATCCCCAGTAATTTGGAACACTGAGGCAGGCAGATTGCTTGAGGCCAGGAGTTCGAGACTAGCTTGGGCAACATGCGAGAGCCCGTCTCTACAAAAAAAAAAAAAAAATACAAAAATTATCCAGGCATGGTGGTGCACACCTGTAGTCCCAGCTGTTGGGGAAAGCTAAGTTGGGAGGATCCCTTGAACCCAGGAGGTTGAGGCTGCAGTAAGCTGTGATTGAGCCACTGAGCTCCAGCCTGGGTGACAGAGCGAGATCCTGTGTCAAAAAATAATTTTGATTTCACGGAAGGAGAAGAGGACTAGTCTTATACCATATCCCAAATGAAATTGAAAATGTCTTCTGGGAATCACAGCAATGACTCAAACTTCTGAATAGTGACTAGGTTTGAGCTGGTAAGGAAGGGATTGTCAAATGCCGTGACAGTCCACAGGAGGGCAGCAGTGCTCCGATTTACAAAGGATTAGTCATACTAGTGTAACCTTTTCTGAGTGAGCCTAGAAATTCTGATGAAAACAGTGTAGTCCAGGAAAAAAAAAAAAAAAATCTGTATGTACAATCACTCAATTTTGAATCATTTCTGGAAGTTATTAGACTCCATGTTAAATCCTACTTAAGTACAAGTATGCAAAATTTAAAAATATGCAGAAAAGCTCATTCTTGGTTAAAATGTTAGCTGAAAGACATTACTAAGTTTTAGAATACCATAGAGTTGACTATTTCCCACAAACCCTAAAATCTACTTGAACACCACAAATTCATATTCCTTCTAATCCCAAGTCCCTTCAGCATTCTTACAGATTTATTGTTAGTTACCTTACAAAGTAACTAACTGTCCCCATGTATTTTATCCCAATTTAAAAAATACATTACAGTCTCAAGGTCACATAAGATTTTCCAAAATGCTCTATTCATAGTCAATATAATTTTCAGGCCGGGTGCGGTGGCTCATGCCTGTAATCCCAGCACTTTGGGAGGCCAAGGTGGGCGGATCACCTGAGGTTGGGAGTTCGAGACCAGCCTGACCAACATGGAGAAACCCCGTCTCTACTAAAAATACAAAATTAGCCAGACGCGGTGGTGCATGCCTGTAATCCCAGCTACTCAGGAGGCTGAGTCAGGAGAATCGCTTGAACCCAGAAGGTGGAAGCTGTGGTGAGCCGAGATAGTGCCATTGCACTCCAGCCTGGGCAACAAGATCGAAACTCCATCTCAAAATATGTGTGTGTGTGTGTGTGTGTGTGTGTGTGTGTGTGTATATATATATATATATATATACACACACACACATATATATATAATTTTCACCTAGTGTTTTATTAAACAGAATGCTTCTGTATTTTTATGTTTATTTGAGACAATGCTTCTGTATTTCTAAACAACAGCTAGCCTTGTTCAGTTAGCCAAACAACAAAACCTTAATTCAAGTCTTCAATGAAATTTTCTGATTTAATAGGCTGAATTAAGAAAGCCATAATTTTCTTCTATAAATATAAGCCTTTAACTTCTATCTTTACAAGTTTATATAGAAAAATTTACTGTGGGGCTTGAGATTTACTAATGCATGGGTTTTCAACCTTAGCTGCACTTTGGAATCATTTAGGACGCTTGGAAATCCCTACACCCAAACCACATCCCAGATCAATTACACTAGAAATCTCTAGGGGTGGGACCCAGGTGTCTGTAAATATCCCCCGGTGATTGCAATGTGCAGCCATGGTTGAGAAACACTGAAGCCTGCTCTGAGAAATTTAGCAATCCGACTTAATTCAAATCTGCAGAGAGAGCAACAATGATTTTTGCAGAAACAACCAAATCCTACTAGTTACATAAATTTTATACTTTGTTAGGACTTGGGTTTTTATTTAGCTCTACATATGCGATCATAGGATGCAGAAGATATATCTTCTACTGGACACGTATATATAGATGCTTAAATGTGGCTATCCCAAGGTTAGGTAATAATAAAGACTATAAGAGCTGGGCAGAAATCAGGCACAGTTTCATGAAGGGTAATATCTGAGCTGGGCCTTGGAAGATGCATAGGATCTCAACAGGACAGTAGGTGTTTCAAGCAACAATGAACTAGGAATACAGCAGAAAGCACAGGGGAAATGGTCAGGCTTGACTGAGAGTAGGTTATTTGAAGAAGTGCAATAGAAAATGCTTGGGGAAGAAAGTTGGGATTTAATTGTAAAAGGTCTTCAAGTATCAGGCTAAGAAATGTGGACTTCATCCAGTAGGTAATGTGATGTCACTGGATATCTGTGCAGTATCTATGTGATGGGTTGGGAGTGGAGAAGCCTGGGGATACTTAAGGGTCTGAGCTAGGAGGGACAGGAGGAATGGCTGTGGGAGTGGAATGGTTAGAAGATGGGCCCAATTAGAAACATACTTCAATTTGAGACAAAACCCACTAGAAATAAACACATCATCATGAAACATCTCCAAATGTACAATTTTATTTTAACAGATTTCAAGAGTCCATTTTTTAAAAAATGAGCAATAAAGAACCTCTATCAGTGAGACTTCTCATTTTATAGCAAATACATTTTTGCAGCTTAAATTTTCTTGAATTCATATACGCTTCTGTCATTTAAACAAACTTCCAGAGAAAACTGGTCTCTATATATTTAAGTAACAAATTTGACAAAATACATATTTATACATATATAGATCTCTAATATAAATATTAAATTTGAAAAAATCAAATGTGAAGCAGAAACTGCTATACAAGTATATTGTATAATATTTATTTTATACATTAAAGTATTTGGTTGAATATACTTCAATTAGGTTTCTAAAAAACACCATTATCTGCTTCTTAGTAATTGCGACATTCTTGAAAAGCATGTGAAACGGGTATAAACTTCAACTCTGTGCTTAATTCAGAATTCCTGTTTGTTCTCCTCAAACTTTTATCTTCCTAAAGCATCTTGCCAGAGACTACAAAGGAAAGGAACATTTACAGAGCACTATAAACATGTCTTTGGACAGTAAAACAGTATTTATTCTTCTACACTCTTGATTTTCCAATCATATCTTCCTCAAGGCAATGTTTCTTTGGCCCAATTTGTGCAACTAAACATAAAATTTCAAAACACAACTTTTAACAGTGTGATATGAAATGCAGTGGCAGTCCCTGCTTTTCGCCTGCTGGCTTCTTTGAAAGAAACTGCTTGGCTAAGGGACTCAGTAGAGGGCTGAGATCTGCCTGAGTATAAAGTGCTACCTGAGCTATATTTACTTCTTCCATCCCTTGGTACAATCAACAGCAAATAGACAAAATGAAGTTACCTTCCTGAGATACATGGCTTACTTTGTACTCTGCCTTTTAGGAGATGAGGTAAGACATATACATAGATGGCTTTTACTAGCCAAGGCAATGTAAATGGACTAAGATTCTCATGTGACTTGAGGTTATCTGATGAATTTATTCTCTTCAAAACCACCTACTTTTAGAGGGCATGTTTAACCCCTCTCTTTATTTAAGGAGGGAGAGAAAAACACATGTAACCAGAATTCAGAGTGGGTTACTCAACCTAAGAGAACATACGGAGTTCTCTTTGGGAAAACAACAAGACTACAGTGTTCACTTCGCACCATGAAGTGGCACTCCTGTTATGGCTGTCAGAGTCCTCTCACTTCTTATGAAAGGATGCATCTGATTCTGAAATTACTGATATATTCGATCAGTTAGGGATGTTTTAAAAAGTGAAAACAAATGCCACACATACACTTTCTAGCTTTCTGAAATCACCGAACACATTACAAAAAATAGAGAATTTACCCTATTAACTTTTAGAGAATTTTCCAATAATATTCTTGGTTAAAGAAGCCAAGTTTGTGCATATTCCCAATTTTCAGTGTTCTTGTTTTTATGCACAAGAGCCAAAGTAGTATACACATATTTTTAAGGGCTTTTTACAATGAACGATATATAAAATACATTCTATAGTTGGTGAAAGAATAATCTTAAGAGTTGGCATTAATCTTTGAACAAAAAAGATTTCAAGCCACTTTCTTTACAAAGAAAATATAATTTCATTGTGAACTATATTTCTCTAATTTTGCCAATTTTATAAAATACAGCATATCCCTGCTTTAATACAACCAGGCATGCTGTGCTGACTGGTCCAATAAATCTAAGTGTTATTTAAGGGAAAGCAGGCAATCTGTTCATACCCAAATTCATACAAGTTTCAAAGAAGCATCAAAGGATGCTACCTACATTCAAGCCACATTGCAATATTAGCTAAGCCACAGTTGCACTCATGAGAGTGAAACTACAGAATAACAACTATTGAAGATTTTAATAGAGTCAAAAGATGAACTGGCAAACCAGGTTGTGGAATCTATTCAGCCTCTCTGCTCTGCTGGAGTGGTTGATTTAGTCTGGTAAGTGGCATATTCAGCTCCACCATCTGCTTTCCTGCAAACCAAGGTATAAAGATCATGTCAAAGATAAATATAATTAAGTACAGAAATTAAATTCCAGAAGCCTATTCAGAAAATGAACAATTAAAAAAATATAGTAATGAGCCACCAACCTGGGAAATAAATTATTCTTTTAAAATAATTTCAAATGTTCAACTGGTCTCACTGTAAAAAAAACCTTCCTTTATCCCTGTCTTATATTTTTGATCCCCTCCAAAACAAGAAATAGAGCAGTAGCACACAAAGTACTTAGTAACTATGTCCTCATTTTGATGTAGGGCCAATGGGAAAGACTGGAGACAAACGCATGCTTTCCTGATCCCTCCATTTTAAAGCTGTAGCTCTGGCACAGAACCTTTAAAAAGATAGTGGTTCTAACTGTTCAAGTATGTGATGCCTCATCTACCCCTCACTGTCAAGAAAATCATGTATTCCACTAAGAGTCTCCTAAATAACTAAAGTTTACGTCACACTTTTAGTATAACAATAGACATCTTTATAAAACCTATTATTCTAGTCTAGTGCTGGCCAAAGACAGATGATGCCAGTCATACATGTAATTTAAAATTTTCCAGAAGCCACTTTTAAAAACATAAAAAGGCAAAAATAATTTTATTTTCTTTAACCGAGTATAACCAAAATATTGAGATGTATTTTACATTTTTTTGGCTTAGTCTTTGAAATCCAGTGTGTGTTTGACACTTGCAGCATACCTGACATTGGACTAGCCACTTTGGAAGTCCTTAGCAGTCACGCATGGCTATTGAACTGGACAGCACAGCTCTGGGCCCTCCCTGCCTTAGTAAATTGACTTTAATAGACAAACGAAAACCAAATTCGGACCAGTCATTATTTACTAGTATGTGTGCCACAGCAAACACATTGCCTTTCCAATGTCACAGCTAAGCATGTTAATTCTGGATACTTTAATAACCCATTTATGCCTAGTGTTCCATTACTGGAACGCTAAGCATGTGGAATTTATCTCCTACTGCTCAAGGTCATCGCCAGGGTCTGACTGCAAAAATTCAAAAAATTGCAACCTCAGGCGTAAACGGGTTGGTTCTTCTTTGCCGGGGAGGCCATCATTATGGTTCTCTACTGCGTCATTACTATACTTATAATATTGCAGTTCCCTAAGGACTGTTGTGATGACAGACTTAATGGTTTGGCCTGTCACTGAATTCTCCAAGACCACTATATTTTTCTTTTCTTTTCTTTATTTTTTTTCCTTTGAGACAGAGTCTTGCTCTGTCACCCAGGCTGGAGTGCAGTGTGGTGTGATCTTGGCTCACTTGCAACCTCCTCCTCCCAGGTTCAAGCAATTCTTGTGCCTCAGCCTCCTGAGTAGCTAGGATTACAGGTGTGCACCACCATGCCCAGCTAATGTTTGTATTTTTAGTAGAAACAGGGTTTCACCATTTTGGCCAACCTGGTCTCAAACCTTAAGTGATCCGCCCGCCTCGGCCTCCCAAAGTGCTGGGATTATAGGTGTGAGCCACCAGGACTGGCCACCACTATATTTTTCTAAGTAAATATTTTTTTCCCATAGTAGTAGAATCTCTTTCTTTAAATAAAGTTTTAAATAAAAATCCAATCTATGCCAAAGATAAAAGGCATTAACATAAATTTAAAGAAACATTTATTGGATATAACAATGAAGCTATTTTGAAGATGGCAAAATATTAACTACAGCATTCATTAAATTATCTTCAAATGTTTACAGATACCCTGAAGCTCAGAGAGAGTCTAAAAACTATTTTCCTAGTTGGCTTTAGTCTCAAAAGTGTCCTAAGAGACTAAGAAGATATAGTAGGCTTCCCTTATCCACGGTTTCACTTTGCACGGTTTCAGTTACCCATAGTCAAATACGGTCAAAAATATTAAATGGAAAATTACAGAACTACGTTTTAGATTGTGTGCCATTCTGAGTATCATGATGAAATCTCACACTGTCCCACTCCATCCCTCCCGGGATATAAATCATCCCTTCGTCCAGCATACCCATGCTGTGGACACTATGTGCCTGTTACTCAATAGCTGTCTTGGTTATCAGATTGACTGTCACGGTATCACAGTACCTGTGGTTAGGTAACCCTTATTTTACTTAGTGGCCTCAGAGCACAAGAGTAGTGATGCTGGCATATTTTTATAATTGATATTATTAGTTATTAGTTATTGCTGTTAATCTCCTACTGTGCCTAATTTATAAATTGAATGATCATAGGTATACATGCTTAAGAGAAAACAGTATATATAAGGTTTAGTACTCTCCCAGGTTTCAGGCAACCACTAGAGGTTTTGGAATGTATCCCCCGTGGATAAGAAGGAACTACTGTATATAGGACTGGGTAGGCCCAGACCGCCAATTCTGGTTGGTATGTTTTGTCTTTCCCTTTCCTCCTGTAACCAAAGACATCACTTTGCTTTTACTAAGAAATTGTCCTTCCAGCTGGCCTTTGTAGATCCTGCTCCCAAACTTTTAATTATAACCTAGGTTAGGGCCTCACATTATAAGAGGTGGGATATGTATCTCCATCTCTTCCCAGCTCTGCGGACACACATTCTAGCACAAACAGAGGAATAATTCCAGTTCAGTTCAAAGACAGAAGGTGGACAGGGTCCAAGGGTTTAAGGCAATGCAATCCATTACTTTTCAAAATCTGAGGACTTTTTTGTTTTCCTTTGATATGCTAAAAATATCCCAGCCCAGGGAAACTGATAAAATGTCTTTACAGAGTTATTTATACGTTGGAATTGAATAAATTTACAAAACTAAGTAAAATATATTTTGGTTTCTATAAAAGGGCATTTTTCCTCCTTGCACTTAAAATGAGTTGATTCTGTGGTTATTTCCCAGTTGGCTCACAAATTCTTACTTTTGGATTCACAGCTGTTTTACAAGGTAGAAGTGAGATCGTCTGATAAAAGGACTAGGGGAACATAACTCTATTTAAAGCCTACGTCAAAGCCTGTCAGTACACATTATGTTTTCAAAGGGAATGGTATAAGAACACATCAATAATTTAGCAAAGGGAACAGGAATGTAAATTTCCTCTTTGATATTTACTGCCAATATCTCTTTGCTCAGGTTATTGATATCTATATATCCACTGAATATTTTTCAAAAGAAAGGACATCTGAAAATAAACAACAGAAAACAGATACCTTTTAATGATAAAAGCAAACCTTTCTCTCATCTCTCCTTCTCAGAGAGAAGTAAATTTTACTTCTCTGTGGGTCTCATCAGTTAGGTATGTGCTGAACAGAGGAAGAGAAAACGGCTGAATAAAATAGTGACTTCAAACCAAAAAGAAACGAGTAGCATAACAAGTGGGATAAAATCCAGTGTAAGAGAGTAGCAGGAAAGCTGAGAATTAGGTTCATAACTTAAGACTTTCTCATTCTCACTGAAGGACTGGAAACATGAATTTTGTGCTAGAAGCTACTTGAACTTTGAAGTCATATAGATCATCCAGCAGATAAACAGACTGGAAATTCCTGTTTAATATGTTTATCTTTGAAGCCATTTTGCATGAAGTGATTCATGTCAAAATGTTTTCAAGGAATAACAGATTGTTGGGGAGAAATGGTACCGGTCTCTAGCACTCTTGATTTTTTTTTTTTTTTTTTTTTTTTTTTTCAAGACACAGCATCTCACTATGTTGCCCAGGCTGATCTCAAACTCCTGAGCTCAAGCCATCGGCCTGCCTCGGCCTCACAAAGTTGCTGGGATTACAGGCGTGAGCCACCAAACCCGGCCTAACACCCTCAATTTTGAGGGAATACATTGAGTATGTATCAAATCCATGTAATATTATCTAGAAATCAACTTTATGACATCATGTATTTTCAGATGTCTCTGGACTTTTACATTAAGAAGTGTCTTCCTGTGGCACATCTGTTTTCAACCTGAGGAGACATCGTTGCAAAACTTTGTATTACATGGCGTCTCATATTTCTGAGATGGATCTAATTTTGTAAGGATGCTTTCTAAACTAATTACAAAACATTTTTGTAGTTGCTCAAAAATTTTTGAAGGGTTAAATGCTCAAGAATTTAAGGGCCAACTAGAAAAACATTTAAGTTAATTTGATCCTTTTTTTGCCCCATGTCACTATATGCCCCAATTACCTGAACTGACCACTATTTTTAATAAAGTAATTGGGTCAGTCAATATTAATGTAACATTAAAAGTCAGTTTAGGTTATACAAAATAATAAATACCATTAATGGAAAAAAGGAAAAACTATTTGTCACAGGTAATAAATATATAAATTATGTAAATAACTTTCACTAACTTAGCCAAACTGTCACTTATCCAGGGATGCTTAACTAGAGTTAAAAAATAATCATGCATTTAAAAAAAACCATTACTTAAATATTTATGTAAACAAAAGGCATCTGTTGTTCAGAAGCACAGTCATGCCATGCAATACAGGACTGAAGCAGTAGCAAAGACAGGGCTGTGGCTTCCAAGACTAAAAAGTATGGTAGAAGAATTAGTAAAGAAAGGAAATGGGAAGGGAAAAGGAGGGAGCATGTGGATGGGACCTGTTTCGGACCCACTGGTATCCTATACTGTTCTCAGCTGAGAGCTATGAAACAGAAAAGTGGCAGAATACTTTAACCTTTTGCCCACTTTTTATCAAGTAATGTAAATGATGTTGGATGATCTTAAAATGACTCCTTACACTATTTTTGTATTTTGAGATGAAGGCTGCAGAAGAGTAATTACGTTCCCAAATCACCATAAATACCAGTTTACAAGAAATACATTTTGTGCCAGGCTTTAACAACAATTTGAGATTATTTGTGCCTGCTAGCCTGCTTCCAGTTACCCCCGGAAGTGGAGAAGTGCCTCCAGACATTTTATAGTCTTTATAAGAAGTTTCTAAGGCCACAACAGCCAATCTGGGGGGACAAGATTATGGACATTAAACAGTGCAAAGAAAATAATGGAAATCTTTGGGGTTTTTTTGTGTTTTTTGTTTTTGAGATGGAGTCTCACTCCGTCACCCAGGCTGGAGTGCAGTGGCGCAATCTCGCTCACTGCAAGCTCCGCCTCCGGGGTTCACGCCATTCTCCTGCCTCAGCCTCCCAGAGTAGCTGGGACTACAGGCGCCCGCCACTATTTTTTTTTTTTTTTTTTTGTATTTTTAGTAGAGACGGGGTTTCACCGTGTTAGCCAGGATGGTCTTGATCTCCTGACCTCGTGATCTGCCCGCCTCGGCCTCCCAAAGTGCTGGGATTACAGGCGTGAGCCACCAGGCCCGGCTGGAAATCTTTGTTTTTTAAGAGTTAAAGAAGGTAAGAAAAGCCAAGTACTATTTATTACCCCATAGCCTTTTTTTAAGGATACACATGGATGAGGAATCTTAAAAACTTCAATTATCTTAAATATTAGAAAAATTTGCCAATAAGCTTCATAGTGTTTCTTCAGACTTCAACAATATAGGCACATCAGTAGTGGGCAACACCCTGGTCAGTGTAGCCCAGGCACAGCAGCAGCATCAGCACTGGGAGCTCACTAGACAGGCAGGGTCTCAGGCTCCACCCCAAACCCAATGAATCAGAATCTGTACTTTAACAGATTTCCAGGTGACTAATGTGCACATTAAAGTCAGAGAAACATTCCTCTAGACTCTGAAGAAGAAAGATAAACCACCCTCACATTCAGTTCAGCTATCAAAATAACATGGAACTACAAAATAATAGATCCATAAAGAGAGCCTAGCTTTGGATTCAGCCATTACATATGCTGAATTTCCAATCGAGTATGTTCCTGTCATAAAAAGGGTAACATCTATTCTAAAAGATTCCCACGCAGTTTATATTTTAAAGTTCAAAGGCAATTAGGAGTTTCGTCTCTCACACCATTTTCTGGACTATTTTTCCTCAAGTTGTGCTACTATTTGCAGGATTAATTATGTTGCATTGGCTAAAGATATCATACCTTCCCAAAATATTTTAAAATTTTAATAATGGCAACTGTCAGTTGGACCCTATGCTGTAAAATATGGGCTTTAAAAAAAAATCACTGGACAAATTAATTTTGGAATCTCAGTTCACTACTGCTATTGAACCTTTCATTTGGGAGTGTAACAGTCAGATAACTGTTGAGCTTTAAAAGACCCATTAAGGCCGGGCGCGGTGGCTCATGCCTGTAATCCTAGCACCTTGGGAGGCCGAGGTGGGCGGATTACCTGAGGTCAGGAGTTCAAGACCAGCCTGACCAACATGGTGAAACCCCATCTCTAGTACAGGTACAACAAATTAGCCGGTGGTGGTGGTGCACGACTGTAATCCCAGCTACTCGTGAGGCTGAGGCAGAGAATCCCTTGAACCCAGGAGGCCAAGGTTGCAGCGAGCCAAGATTGCGCCATTGCACTCCAGCCTGGGTGACAGAGCAAGACTCCATCACAAAAAAGCAAAAAACAACAACAGAAAAACCATTAACTGCTAGCTAGAGAGAGTTTGATTAATACTTGTTAATGAACCTTTAAAAATTCTGATGCAGTGATATTTTAAACAAAGAAGGAAAATAAGCAGAATGCGACTTTGTTTTGTTTTCTTTAGAACTTGTTTCTACGCAAACCTTATGGATTTGTAAAAATATTCCATTGATAATATTTTGTACTCACGTTGTAGATATGTAACTTTTAGAATATACAACTGATAGATAAATCAAATATGCATATCGTGTTCCATTAATACAAGATTTAAGATTCAAGTGAAGGGATTATGGGTATTTCAAAAGATAACCAAGTAATATGAAAAAAGTTTGAGTTCCTTATGAGTAAAGCTTGTACTTTTATGACTTAGCCCAAACCTGATGATCAGTATAAAAGGAATATATATCATAAAACCATGAGTACCAAAAGTCTTAAAATTATTAGGTTTGATTTCAAAGCTATTTCTAAAACTATAGGGGAAAACAGTTTTTAAAAATCAGTAAAAATGAATGTATATTATCTTTCAGAAATTTCAAAGCACCTAATCTTAGTCTGTGTTCCAGGATTCATTCTAAGTCTTTTGTTAAACTGTAAGCTCTTTAACTAAAATTTGAGTTTGATGTTTTAAAACCCTATTTTCTTTAGAAGATATGTACTTGTACATTTTTCTTCTATTCTAAACCCACTCACTTTTTACATTTTTATATATTAAAAGACACAGTTAATTGAGGTACCTTATAGATCTAACCCCTCTCAGCAATTTTAACTTTAACCCTATCAGTTTTACTGCAATCTGGTAAATTCAGAGAACATAAGAGGGAAATCGGATAGTGTTGTTTTGAATCCCCCAGTTTAACATGTATAAATAACAACTTTAAATGAAAAGACACCAAATTGGGTATTTAAATGATATGCCTACATAGCTTCTTGCAACTAGCTAAGCTATATAGACAAGTGGAAACTTTCATTATAAAAATTCCAGTGAATACAACTGTCAAAGTCTCCACAGTGAAATACTTTAAATTTAATTTTGGCCATTAGTGCAATTTTGGAAATAGGGAATAGGGTAGAGAAGGCCTCATAGTGAGTGGTCCATGATTTGCTAAATAACTTAAACCTCAAATCCAAAAGAAATTTTTCTTAAAGTCATAATAGCTGTAGGAACTCTGCACAGATGTTTTTATGTTGCAGTGATGTTAGAAGTAGCTGAAAATATTTTTAGCAAAGAAATGCAATTGGTAGGACAAACTAATGCAGGCATTTTTTTAAAAAAAAAAAAAAGATAGCATGCAATACAGATTACAAACTGAAGCTGCACAAAAGCATGTTAAGTATAAGAAGGACCAAGAAGTTAAAAGAAACATGCTTTAATTTACCCTTTCTTCTTCCTCCTTTGAAGATATCTGTACGGGACAACACAAATTACTGCAACTCCAACAACTATAAGAAACCAGGAAACAAATGACATATAATTCTGAAAACTAATCACCAAGATTCAACATCTAGCAGAAGAAATAAATGTTGGTTACATTTCAGTGGTCAAATGTTATTTAAGCACCTACACATTTATATTCCATCCAGACTCTTTGCTATCTAAATCCAACTCCCCATAATCACTTACACAGTCCATAGTAAGTCAGAGAAAAGTCCTTGCTTAATTTAGAAAACTATCAAAAGCACATTTGGGAAGCCAACTAATATTACTGATCATCTTGAGAAAATATGTATTACTTAGGCTTTGTTACTAAGTAGATATACAGAATATAACAGAGTATAAAATCACTAACACAAGGTAGGTAGTTAAGTATATCAAATAAAAAGTCAGGTTTTCCTAAATCGGTTTAACCAATTTACAAGCTGAAAAAACTATAGAAACTGAAAAACTATTTTTAAAATGCATGTCTTCACAATAATTTTTTGACTTAAGTGGTGTCAAAATTTGTGATACTTACCTATGGCAATAACAATCACAGCAATGACCCAAACATCTGAGAAAGAAAACAGTTCCAAGATGTTGAACACATGGATCTCCAGATAGCATTTATTTCAATCAGATCATCTAAACACTTGATATGGTTTGGCTGTGTCCCCACCCAAATCTCATCTTGAATCGCAATTCCCATAATCCCCACGTGTTGTGGGAGGGACCCCATGAGAGGTAATTGAATCATGGAGGCAGTTTCCCCCATGCTATTCTCATGATAGTAAGTTCTCACGAGATCTGATGGTTTTATAAGCGGCTTCCTCCTTCACTTGGTTCTCATACTTCTCCTTCCTGCCATCATGTGAAGAAGAATGTGTTTGCTTCCCCTTCCTCCATGATTATAAGTTTCCTGGGGCCTCCTCAGCCCTGCAGAACTGAGTCAGTTAAATCTCTTTCCTTTATAAATTACCCGGTCTCAGACTGTTCCTTACAACAGCATTGAGAATGGACTAATACAAGACTACAGAGGAAAAAAAAATTTTTTATATAGTTTTAGCATGACTGCTAGGGCATCCAGGTCATTTTGATCATAGAACCCTTCTAACCAGTTTCCAGGTTAAGGGTTCCACTTGTGAAACTCTTAATGGGAACCTCATTTTTCACTGTTTTTCTCTATAGCTACCACATCAGGTTATTTAGCGGTAAAGTTATTAGAGTAATTAGAATTCACTATAGTAAAGGAAAATGATTTTTGAAAAGTATTATCCCATGAGAGTTGGTTTAGTTCAACAGTCATTCTGTCATTTCTTATTTTGGTAGACATTTAATTTGTATTTTTTCCTCCAAAAGTGATCTGTAGAGTGAGTCATAAATAAATTTCTATTATTCTATTGCCCAGATGGTATTTACAAAGTCTTCACAAACAATACTTTATCTTATCAATCCCCTTCCCATCCTCTCTACTTCCATACTCTGCCCTGCCCCAAAATTAAGACATAGTCCTAAATACCAATAGGATTCCCATAATAAATGAAACACCAGGGCACATGGATAAAAAATATACAGAGAAATTTGAGAATACATTTTTGACTATCTAGAGAACACAAAATAATCCTATAAAATCTTAATTTTTAGAACTGTTTCTGTCCCTAGTACCTTTGCTTCTAAACTGCCATTACTTTTATTAAATTGCTATAAGTCAAAGCATAAAGTGCTATGTTCAACTCTGCTCTTCTCATCTCATAAACAGTTATCAAGTGTTTAACAGTTTAAGATGGCAACAGATTTACTTGGACCACAGATTTTGGAGGTAAGGCAAATACTAAAAAACAAGCCTAAGGTGCATTATATAAAATGATTAACCATTACCAAACTAGTCTAAGAAATGAAAGGTAATAGATTTTTGTTTTTACTTATTAAGAAATCTTTATTTTTCATTGGCCTATATCACAACTGCACTTCATCTTTTTTTTTAACATGCATTGTGTAAACTGCGTAAGCCTACATCAAGTGTGTTAAATCAGCGTGTTACAGAAAAAATAAACCCAACTTAGATTGCTTTAAGGTTCATGTATATAAGATATGAATAGAAAGAAAATTTATCGACAGATTACCATCACAAAATAACAATATAATGTGGAAAGAAAATTGTGTTTTATATATTTTAACCTACATACAAACACAGCATTTAAGAAAGTTATCTTACCCTACCAAGGATCCTATGTTTGGGCACCTCATAAAAACTAATTACCTACACGTTTCTACACATACTACCACTTATATTTGTCATGATAGCTATACCAACCCAAACTGTCAAGTATTCCTTCCTCAGGTTTAGGATATCCTAGGAAAAAAGAAGAAATATAGATTAAATTAATAAAAGAAGGAAAGAATTAAATATAAAGCTTAAAATCCTTTAAACTCATAGGGTGATTTTTTTTCACCTTTGTAGAAAATCCCTTAAAATATAATTTTCCTTATAAACTATATTAATGTTTCTCAAAGTAGTATCATAAAAATTTATAAACTTACATTTAATGTCATAATCTTTCTTCTTCCTCCCCACTCACATTTTCTGTGACAACATTCTGTGGTTCAACATGCAAATTTATCTGTACTATTTTCTCAAAATTAGTCTATAAATCCAATGTGATTCTAATTAAAATTAAAAGATAGAGGGATTAGCCGGGCACAGTGGCTCACGCCTGTAATCCCAGCACTTTGGGAGGCCGAGGCAGGCGGATCACGAGGTCAGGAGTTCGAGACCATCCTGGCCAACATGGTGACACCCCGTCTCTACTAAAAAAAAAAAAAACAAAAATTAGCTGGGTGTGGTAGTGCGTGCCTGTAATCCCAGCTACTTGGGAGGCTGAGGCAGGAGAATCGCTTGAACCCGGGAGGCGGAGGTTGCAGTGAGCCGAGACACAGCCACTGCACTCCAGTCTGGCAACACAGCGAGACTCTGTCTCAAAAAAAAAAAAAAAAAAAAAAAAAAGAGGGATTAATAAAAATAAATGCTTTAGAGTTGACCTGAAATGGAAGGAAACTTCCTCAACATAATAAAGGCCATATATTAAAAACCCACAGCTAACATCATACTCAATGTTAAATGAATGAAGGCTTTTTCCCTAAGATCAGGAACAAGACAGGGTGTCCATGTTTGCCACTTCTATCTGACATAGGACTGAAAGTTCTAATCAGAGCAATTAGGTAAGAAAAAGAAATTCAAATTAGAAAGGAAGAAATAAAATTCGCTCTGTTTGCAGATGACATGATCTTTTATTTAGAAAACCCTAAGGATCCCACATATACACACACATGCAAAAATCTCTTAGAACTAATAAATGAATTCAGTTAAGTGGCAGGTTACAAAATCAACATACAAAACTCAGTTGTATTTCTATACACTAACAATGAATAATCTGAAAAGGAAATTAAGAAAACAATATCATTTGTAATAGCATCAAAAAGAATAAAATACTTAGGAATAAACTAAGGAGGTGAAAGACTTGTACACTGAAAACTACAAAACTGCTAAAAAAAATTAAAGATATAAAATAAATGGAAAGACACTTGTGTTTATGGATTGGAAAAATTTAGTATTTTTAAACTGTCAATACTATACAAAGCAATCTTCAGATTTAGTGCAACCCCTATGAAAATCCTGATGATGGTATTTTTTGGTTTTTTTTTTCTGAAATAGAAAAATCCATTCCAAAATACATATGAAATCTCAAGGGACCACAAATAGCCAAAACAATCCTAGAAACAAAGAGCAAAGTTGAGAAGGCTCACACTTTCTGATTCCAAAACTATAATAATCAAAACAATGGTAATGACAAAAAGGCAGACATACAGACCAATGGAATAGAACAGAGACCTCGGAAATAAACCCCTGCATATATGGTCAAACGGTTTTCAACAAGCGTGACAAGGAACAGTCAAATGGGGAAAGGGAGTCTCTTCTACAAATGGTGCTGGTAAAACTGGATATCCACATGCAAAAAAAGTGAAGCTGGACCCTTATCATATACAAACACAAACTCAAAATAGATCAGAGACCTAAACATAAGAGGTAAAACTATAAAACTCTCAGAAGAAAACAGAGGAAATGCTTCTTGACATTTGATCTGGCTATGATTTATTGGATGTGACTCTAAAAGCCCAGGCAAGACAAGAAAAAAATTATATTTCATCAATTAAAAGCAAATTTTGTGCATCAAATGACACTATCAACAGAGTGAAAAGGCAACCCACAGAATGAGAGGAAATATTTGTAAATCATATATTTGATAAGGAAGTAATATCCAGAACATATAAATAACTCTTAAAACTCAGTAACAAATGTCAACCCAACTTGAAAATGGGCAAAAGACTTAAAAAGATGTTTCTCTAAAGAAGATATACAAATGACCAATAAGCACATGAAAAGATTCTCAACACATTTCTAATTTTTAGGGAAATGCATATCTAGTATGCATATCTACTTCATATCTATTAGGACGGTCTATGGTTTGAATGTCCCCTTCAAAACTCATGATGAAATTTAATTGTCAATGTAATGTTATTGGGGTGGCGCCTTTAAGAGGTGTTTGGGTCATTATGGCTCTGTCCTCATGAATGGACTAATGTCGTTATTGCAGGGGTGTGTTTGTTATTTAGGGCATGGTTTTGTCCCTCTTACTCTCTCTCTCACCGTCTCTTTTCCTTTCCACCATGTGATGCCTTCCATCATATTATGACAAAGCAAGAGGGCCCTCACAGATGCCCATGCCTTGATATTAGACTTCTCAGCCTCCAGAACTCTAAGAAATAAATTTCTGTTCATTATAAGTTACTCAGTCTGTGGTATTCTGTTATCACATACAAAACAGACTAAGACACTTGGCTATTACTAAAAAAACAATTTAATAAGTGTTGGTGGAGATGTGGAAAAATTGGAACCTTTGTTAAAGGTTCCCACTGCTGGTGGGAATGTAAAATGGTGCAGCCACTGTGGAATACAGTATGCCAGTTCCTCAAAATATTAAAAATAGAATTCCCTTATGATCTAGCAATTCTACTCCCAGGTATATACCTAAAAGAACTGAATACGGGAACTCAAACAGATATGTGTACACCTATGTTTATAACAGCATTACTCAAAATAGCCAAAAGGTAAAAACAAACCAACCCAAGTGTCTAGCAACAGATGAATGAATAAATGAAATATAGTATATACATATAACGAACTATTATTCAGCCATAAAAAGGAATGAAGTTCTGATTCATGTCACAAGATAGATCTAGATGAACCTTAAAAACATTATGCTAAGTAAAATAAGCCACACACAAAAGGACAAATAGTGGGATGCCATATAAGTGGACTCCACTTATTATAATTATATAAATTTACCTAGAATAGGCAAATTCATGAGACAAAAAGTAGATAGTGGTTATCATCAGGTGATGGGGATAGGGAGGAATGGAGAGTTACTGTTTAATGAGTAGAGATTCAGTGTGGGATGATTATAATATTCTAGAGATGGATGGTACTGATGGTTACATAACAATGTCAGTGTACTGAATGCCACTGAATTGTAAACTTAAAATGGTCAAAATGATAAGATAAAAAGTTTATTTGGAAAAAATAACATAGAGTTCCTTAGAAATTTCTGAAAAGGAAGTGTTCCCGGCAGTTATTAAAACATATAGTACTACAGTAAAAAAAAAAAAAAAAAAAGACTTGCTTTTGCTACAAGAATAGAAGAATGGACAAAGTTCAAAGGAGAAAAGAGGATGGAACACCTATGAATGCAATGTATGATACAAATTGACATTTCAAATCAGTTGGGGAGAAGACAACTTATTCAAAAAATGGTGCTATTTAGCTATTGGATGGTGGTTGCTGGGGTGGGGCGAGGTGGAACCATATATCTCATTATATACACCAGAATAAATTTCAGATTTACTAATGATTTAAGTGCAAAGACCAAAGTCAGAACACATGGTTGAAATCTTCATACAATTTCAGCATACAGAAGACCTAAAGTTTTAGTAAGAAAGACACCAAAGTCATAGCCATTAGGGAAAAGATCAATACATCCAACTACCTATTAATATAAAACGTCTGAACATATAAATGACCTCTGATAGGAGAATAGTTAAATAAGGTATGGTATATACTTAAGTCATCATTAGAAAGTATGAGAATAAATCTAAACACAACTACAATCTAAGAGTGTAAGTGGAAAAAGTTGCAGAAAAATATGTACAGCATAATATCATTTTTAAGAAAAGAGAAAACACCAAACTACATGTATAATTACACATAAAAGTATGTTGATGGTCCTAGGCAAAGCAATCAGATAAGAGAAAGAAACAGAGGGCATCCAAATAGGAAGAGAGGAAGTCAAACTATCTCTGTCCACAGACAACATGATTCTATATTTAGAAAACCCCACAGTCTTGGCCTAAAAGCTGCTCCAGATGATAAACAACTTCACCAAAGTTGCAGGATACAAAATCAATATACAAAAATCACTAGCATTCCTATACACCAACAACAGCCAAACTGAGAGTCAAATCAGAGAGGCAATCCCAGTCAAAATTACTACAAAAAGAATAAAATACCTAGGAATACAGCTAACCAGGGAGGTGAAACATCTCTGCAATGAGAATTATAAAACACAGCTCAAAGAAATCAGAGAAGACACAAACAAATGGAAAAACATCCCATGCTCATGGATGGAAGAATCAATATCATTAAAATGGCTATACTGCCCAAAGCTATTTACAGATTCAATGCTATTCCTATCAAACTACCAACGACATTCTTCACAGAACTAGAAAAAACTATTTTAAAATTCATATGGAGCCAAAAAGAGCCTGAATAGTCAAGAAAATCTTACGCAAAAAGAACAAAGCTGGAGGCATCACATTACCTGACTTCAAACTCTACTACAAGGCTACGCTAACCAAAACAGCATGGTACTGGTACAAAAACAGGCATATACACCAATGGAACAGAATAGAGAGCCTAGAAATAAGGCTGCACATCTATGACCATCTGATCTTCCACAGAACTGACAAAAACAAGCAATGGGAAAAAGATTCCCTATTAAATAAATGGTGCTGGGATAACTGGCTAGCCATATGCAGAAGATTGAAACTGGATCCCTTCCTTACACCATACACAAAAATCAACTCAAGATGGATTAAAGATTTGCATGTAAAACCCAAAACTATAAAAACCCTGGAAGACAACCTAGGCAATATCACTCTGGACATAATAACAGACAAAGATTTCATGACAAAGACATCAAAAACAATCGCAACACAAGCAAAAATTGACAAGTACGATTGAAGTAAATTGAAGAGCTTCTGCACAGCAAAAGAAGCTATCAACAGAGTAAACAGACAACTTACAGAATGGGAGAACATTTTTGCAAACTATGCATCTGACAAAGGCCTAATATTTAGCATTTACAGGAACTTAAAAAAATTTACAAGAGAAAAACAACTCCATTAAAAAGTGGGCAAAGCACGTGAACAGACACTTTTCAAAAGAAGACATATATGTGGCCAAAAAACATACAGAAGAAAAGCTCAGTATCACTGATCATTAGAGAAATGCAAATCAAAACGGCAGTGAGATACCATTTCACACCAGTCAGAATGGCTATTATTAAAAAGTCAAAAAATAATAGATGCTGGTGAGGTTGTAGAGAAAAGGGAACACTTATATGCTGTTCGTGGGAGTGTAATTTAGTTCCACCATTGTGGGAAGCAGTATGGCGATTCCTCAAAGACCTAAAAGCAGAACTACCATTCAACCCAGCAATCCCATTACTGGGTATATACCCAGAGAAATATAAATCATTCTGCCATAAAGATATATGCACATGAATGTTCACTGCAGCACTGCTCACAATAGCAAAGACAAGGAATCAACCTAAATGCCCATCAATGACAGACTGGATAAAGAAAATGTGGTACATATACACCGTGGAATACTACGTAGCCATAAAAAAGAACGAGCGCATGTCTTCAGCAGGAACGTCCCAAATACCGCATGTTCTCACTTATAAGTGGGGGCTAAATGGTAAGAACTAATGAACACAAAGAAGGAAACAACAGACACTGGGGTATACTTGACCGGGGAGGGTGGGAGTAGGAAGAAGAGCAGAAAAGGTAACTATTGGGTACTAGGCTTAATACCTGGGTGATGAAATAGTTATGTACAACAAATCCCTGTGACACGTTTACTTATGTAACAAACCTTCACCTGTACCCCCAAATCTAAAATAAAACTTTTTAAAAAAAGATGTTGATGTACAAAAATAGATTTAAAAAGAAACCCTAAACTATTAACAGTGATTAACTTGGGTAATGAGTTAAAAATAAAACTAATCTTTTACTCTATATACTTTTGTAATGTTTGAAATTCTACAAAAGTATATTCATACACTACTCATGTAATTAAAAGTTATAAAAAGTAATCTATATCCAGTAGTATAACAAGCTTAAAACTGACAAAACAAAAGAACCTGGAAAAAACTGTTCACTTCATATTAAAAGGGCTTTAATTCATAATGAGCTCTCAAAAATCACTAAGAAAAATATTTTAGAAACCTAACAGAAAAATAGACAAAGCACATGAATAAATAAATGTAGATCAAAAAAAGTTCAGATTCACTGATAATTAAAGAAATGTAAATTGGCCGGGCATGGTGGGTCACACCTGTAATCCTAGCACTTTGGGAAGCTGAGGCAGGAGGATCGCTTAAGCCCAGGAGTTGGAGAAAAGACTTGCCAACATGGCAAAACCCTGTCTCTACAAAAAATTCACACACAAAAAAATAGCTGGGTGTGGTGGCAGGTGCCTGTAGTTCCAGCTACCTGGGAGGCTGAGGTGGGAGAATCACCTGAGCCCAGGAGGTTGAGGCTGCAGTGTGCCGTGGTTGCACCACTGCACTCCAGCCTGGGCAACAGAGTGAGACCCGGTCTCAAAAAAGCAAAAACAAAAACAACTAAAAACCAAGAACCAAGAAATGCAAATTAAAACAAGATGTTATTTTTCACCCATCATTTAAAAATTCTTAACATTTTTTTAGATATGTCTTAAGTTTTTAATTTAAAAAAATTTTAAGTAAAAAAAAATCTTGTCCAAGATGGCTGAATAGGAACAGCTCTGGTGTGCAGCTCCAGCGAGATAGATGCAGAAGACAGGTGATTTCTGCATTTCCAACTGAGATACCTGGTTCATCTCACTGGGACTGGCTGGACAGTGAGTGCAGCCCACGGAGGGCGGGGCATCGCCTCACCCGGAAGCGCAAGGACTTGGGGGATTTCCCTTTCCTAGCCAAGGGAAGCCGTGACAGACTGTACCTGGAGAAACAGTACACTCCTGACCAAATACTGCACTTTTCCCACAGTCTTAACAACCAGCAGACCAGGAGATACCCTCCTGTGCATGGCTTGGCAGGTCCCACGCTCACAGAACCTTGCTCACTGCTAGCGCAGCAGTCTGAGATTGACCTGCGACACTGCAGCCTGATGAGGGGAGGAATGTCTGCCATTGCTGAGGCTTGAGTAGCTCACAGTGTAAACAAAGAGAACTGGAAGCACAAACTGGAGGAGCCCACCGCAGCTCAGTAAGGGCTACTGCCTCTATAGATTCCACCTCTGGGGGCAGGGCATAGTAGAACAAAACGCAGCAGCTTCTGCAGACTTAAACGTCCCTGTCTGACAGCTCTGAAGAGAGCAGTGGTGCTCTGAACATGGCATTCGAGCTTCGACACTGGACAGACTGCCTCCTCAAGTGGGTCCCTGACACCCATGTAGCCTGACTGGGAAAGACCTCCCAGTAGCGGCCGACAAACACCTCAAACAGGTGGTGGGTGCCCCACCTGGGACGAAGCTTCCAGAGGAAGGATCAGGCAGCAATATTTGTGGTTCTGCAGCCTCTGCTGGTGATACTCAAGAAAACAGGGTCTGGAGTGGACCTCCAGCAAACTCCAACACACCTGCAGCTGAGGGGTCTGACTGTTGGAAGGAAAACACACAAACAGAAAGGAATAGCATCAACATCAACAAAAAGGACATCCACACCAAAACCCCATCAAAGACAAAAGGTAGATAAAACCACAAAGATGGGAGAAACCAGAGCAGAAAAGCTGAAAATTCCAAAAAACAGACTGCCTCTTCTCCTCCAAAGGATCACAGCTCCTTGCCAGCAAGGGAACAAAACTGGACAGAGAATGAGTTTGATGAGTTAACAGAAGTAGGTTTCAGAAGGTCAGTAATAACAAACTTCTCCAAGCTAAGATGTTCTAACCCATCTCGAGGAAGGTAAAAACCTTGAAAAAAGATTAGATGAATGGCTAACTAGAATAAACAGTGTAGAGAAGACCTTAAATGACATGATGGAGCTGAAAACCACGGCACAAGAACTTCGTGACGCATGCACAAGCTTCAATAGCTGATTCGATCAAGTGGAAAGAAACTATATCAGTGATTGAAGATCAGATTAATGAAAAAAAGAAGACAAGATTAGAGAAAAAAGTGAAAAGAAACAAACAAAGCCTCCAAGAAATATGGGACTATGTGAAAACACCAAATCTACGTTTGATTGGTGTACCTGAAAGTGACGGGGAGAATGGAATCAAGTTAGAAAACACTCTTCAGGATATTGTCCACGAGGACTTCCCTAAACTAGCAAGACAGGCCAACATTCAAATTCAGGAAATACAGAGAACACCACAAAAATACTCCTTGAAAAGTGCAACCCCAAGACACATAATCGTCAGATTCACCAAGGTTGAAACGAAGGAAAAAAATGTTAAGGGCAGCCAGAGAGAAAGGTCAGGTTACCCACAAAGGGAAGCCTATCCAACTATCAGCGGATGTCTCAGCAGAAACCCTACGAGCCTTAAAAGAATGGGGGCCAATATTCAACATTCTTAAAGAAAATAATTTTCAACCCAGAATCTCATATCCAGCCAAACTAAGCTTTGTAAGTGAAGAAGAAATAAAATAGTTTATAGACAAGCAAATGCTGACAGATTTTGTCGCCACCAGGCCTGCCTTACAAGAGCTCCTGAAGGAAGCACTAAACATGGAAAGGAACAACCGGTACCAGCCACTGCAAAAACATACCAAATGGTAAAGACCATCGATGCTATGAAGAAACTGCATCAGTTAACGGGCAAAATAACCAGCTAACATCATAATGACAGGATCAAATTCAAACATAACACTATTAGCCTTAAATGAAAATGGGCTAAATGCCCCAATTAAAAAACACAGACTGGCAAATTGGATAAAGAGTCAAGACCCATCGGTGTGCTATATTCAGGAGACCTATCTCACATGCAAAGATGCACATAGGCTCAAAATAAAGGGACAGAGGAAGATCTACCAAGCAAATGGAAAGCAAAAAAAAAAGGGGTTGCAATTCTAGTTTCTGATAAAACAGACATTAAACCAACAAAGATCAAAAGAGACAAAGAAGGCCACTACATAATGGTAAAGGGATCAATTCACCAAGAAGAGCTAACTATCCTAAATATATATGCACCCAATACAGGAGCACCCAGATTCATAAAGCCAAGGCCTTAGAGACCTACAAAGAGACATAGACTCCCACACAATAATAATGGCAGCCTTTAACACCCCACTGTCAATATTGGACAGATCAATGAGACAGAAAGTTAACAAGGATATCCAGGACTTGAACTAGCTCTGGACCAAGCAGACCTACTAATCATCTACAGAACTCTACACCCCAAATGAATAGAATATACATTCTTCTCAGCACCACATCGCACTTATTCTAAAATTGACCACATAATTGGTAGAAAACACTCCTCAGCAAATGTAAAAGAACAGAAATCACAACAAACTGTCTCTCAGACCACAGTGCAAATCAGGATTAATAAATTCACTCAAAACCACACAAATACATGGAAACTGAACAACCTGCTCTTGAATGACTACTGGGTAAATAATGAAATGAAGACTGAAATAAAGTTGTTCTTTAAAACCAACGAGAACAAAGATACAACGTACCAGAATCTCTGGGAAACATTTAAAGCAGTGTGTAGAGGGAAATTTATAGCACTAAATGCCCACAAGAGAAAGCAGGAAAGATCTAAAATCAACACCCTAACATCACCATTAAAAGAACTAGAGAAACAAGAGCAAACAAATTCAAAAGCTAGCAGAAGGCAAGAAATAACTAAGATCAGAGCAGAACTGAAGGAGGTAAAGATATAAAAAACCCTTCAAAAACTCAATGATTCCAGGAGCTGGTTTTTTGAAAAGATCAACAAAAATGACCGCTAGCAAGACTAATAAAGAAGTAAAGAGAGAATAATCAAATAGACGCAATAAAAAATGATAAAGGGGATATCACCACTGACCCCACAGAAATACAAACTACCATCAGAGAATACTATAAACACCTCTACACAAATAAGCTAGAAAATCTAGAAGCAATGGATAAATTCCTGGACACATACACCCTCCCAAGACTAAACCAGGAAAGGTTGAACCTCTGAATAGACCAATAACAGGTTCTGAAATTGAGGCAATAATTAATAGCCTACCAACCAAAAAAAGTCCAGGACCAGATGGATTCACAGCCGAATTCAACCAGATCTACAAAGAGGAGCTGGTACCATTCCTTTGAAACTATTTCAATCAACAGAAAAAGAGGGAATCCTCCCTAATTCATTTTAGGAAGCTAGCATCATCCTGATACCAAAGCCTGGTAGAGGTGCAACAAAAAGAGATAATTTTAGGCCAATATCCCTGATGAACATCGATGCAAAAATCCTCAACAAAATACTGGCAAACTGAATCCAGCAGCACATCAAAAAGCTTATCCACCACAATCAAGTTGGCTTCATCCCTGGGATACAAGGCTGGTTCAACATTAACAAATCAATAAACATAATCCATCACAAAAACAGAACTAACAACAAAAACCACATGACTATTTCAATAGATGCAGAAAAGGCCTTTGACAAAATTCAACAGCCCTTCATGCTAAAAACTCTCAATAAACTAGGTATTGATGGAATATATCTCAAAATAATAAGAGCTATTTAAGACAAACCCACAGCCAATATCATACCGAATGGGCAAAAACTGGACATTCCCTTTGGAAACCGGCACAAGACAAGGATGCCCTCTCTCACCACTCCTATTCAACGTAGTGTTGGAAGTTCTGGCCAGGGTGATCAGGCAAGAAAAAGAAATAAAGGGTATTCAATTAGGAAAAGAGGAAGTCAAATTGTCTCTGTTTGCAGATGACATGATTGCATATTTAGAAAACCCCATCGTCTCAGCCCAAAATCTCCACAAGCTGATAAACAACTTCAGCGAAGTCTCAGGATACAAAATCAATGTGCAAAAATCACAAGCATTCCTATACACCAATAATAGACAAACAGAGAGCCAAATAATGAGTGAATTCCCATTCACAATTGCTACAAAGAGAATAAAATACCTAGGAATCCAACTTACAAGGGATGGATGTGAAGGACATCTTCAAAGACAACTACAAACCACTGCTCAACGAAATAAAAGAGTACACAAACAAATGGAAGAACATTCCATGCTCATGGATAGGAAGAATCAATATTGGGAAAATGGCCATACTACCCAAGGTAATTTATAGATTCAATGCTATCCACATCAAGCTACCACTGAATTTCTTCACAGAATTGGAAAAAACTACTTTAAAGTTCATATGGAACCAAAAAAGAGTCCATATAGCCAAGACAACCCTAAGCAAAAAGAACAAAGCTGGAGACATCAAGCTACCTGACTTCAAACTATACTACAAGGCTACAGTGACCAAAACAGCATGGTACTGGTACCAAAACAGATATATAGATCAATGGAACAGAATAGAGGCCTTAGAAATAACAACTCACATCTACAACCATCTGATCTTTGACAAACCTGACAAAAACAAGAAATGGGGAAGGGATTCCCTATTTAATAAACGGTGCTGGGAAAACTGACTAGCCGTATGTAGAAAGCTGAAACTGGATCCCTTCCTCACACCTTATACAAAAATTAACTCAAGATGGATTGAAGACTTAAATGTAAGACCTAACACCATAAAAACCCAACAAGAAAACCTAGGCAATACCATTCAGGACATAGGCACGGGCAAATACTTCATAACTAAAACACCAAAAGCAATGGCAACAAAAGCCAAAATAGACAAATGGGATCTAATGAAACTAAAGAGCTTCTGCACAGCAAAAGAAACTATCATCAGAGTGAACAGGCAACGTACAGAATGGGAGAAAATCTTTGCAATCTGCCCATCTGACAAAGGGCTAATATCCAGAATCTACAAAGAACTTAAATAAATTTACAAGAAAAAAACACCACCATCAAAAAGTGGGCAAAGGATATGAACAGACACTTCTCAAAAGAAGACATTTATACAGCCAACAGACATATGAAAAAATGCTCATCATCACTGGTCATCAGAGAAATGCAAATCAAAACCACAATGAGATACCACTCACGCCAGTTAGATTGGCGATTATTAAAAAGTCAGGAACAACAGATGCTGGAGAGGATGTGGAGAAACAGGAACACTTTTACACTGTTGGTGGGACTGTAAATTAGTTCAACCATTGTGGAAGACAGTGTGGTGATTCCTGAAGGATCTACAACTAGAAATACCATTTGACCCAGTAATCCCTTACTGGGTATATACCCAAAGGATTATAAATCATGCTACTATAAAGACACATGCACACGTATGTTTATTGTGGCACTATTCACAATAGCAAAGACTTGGAACCAACCCGAATGTCCATCAATGATAGACTGGATTAAGAAAATGTGGCACATATACACCATGGAATACTATGCAGCCATAAAAAAGGATGAGTTCATGTCCTTTGCAGGGACATGGATGAAGCTGGAAACCATCATTCTAATCAAACTATCACAAGGACAGAAAACCAAACACCGCATGTTCTCACTCATAGGTAGGAGTTGAACAACGAGAACACATGGACACAGGGTGGGGAACATCACACACTGGGGCCTGTCAGGGGTTAGGGGCTGGGGGAGGGATAGCATTAGGAGAAATACCTAATATAAATGATGAGTTGATGGGTGCAGCAAACCAACATGGCACACGTATACCTATGTAACAAACCTGCACGCTGTGCACACATACCCTAGAGCTTAAAGTATAATAAAAATAAATAAATAAATTCTTAACAATATCAGTAGGATAAAGAGTTAACCAACCTGGATAATTTGAGACTGGAGGCTTGTAAGTAGGCCTAGGACCTAGAAAAATAAGTTTGATTTTATAAATTCACCAGGGCCTTATCAATATAAAATTATGACTTTAATTTTGATATTGATTTTTTAAGTTTATCAAATGAAAACTACACACTTTACAAACTTTGCAATTCCACATCTTAGAATTTAACCTACATATATATTTGCACAAGTATGTAAGATGTATGTACAAGAATGCTCACCACACTCTGTATTTTATAATGGAAATCTTAGAAGATAACCATCATGAAAGTAATGTGAGGATGGGTGTGGTGGCTCACGCCTGTAATCCCAGCACTGTGGGAGGCCGAGGCAGGTGAATCACTTGAGGTCAGGAGTTCGAGACTAGCCAGGCCATCATGGAGAAACCCCGTCTCTACTAAAAATACAAAAAATTAGCCGGCATAGTGGTGGGTGCCTGTAATACCAGCTACTTGGGAGTCTGAGGTGGCAGGAGAACCGCTTGAACCCGGGAGGCGGAGGTTGCAGTGAGCCAAGACCGCGCCACTGCACGCCATCCTGGGTGACAGAGCAAGACTCTGTCTCAAAAAAAAAAAAAGGGAATGTGCTTGGGGTAAACATATGTATCTTTTTAAAAACTGTAAGTAGTATGATACTACATAATTTACATCTTTCTCTTTTCCACTTAGGACTTCCTCAACTTTTCTTCTTGTTAACACATTTAGATCTACCTTAACATCATGATGTTGTTATTTAGTCTTCCTCTAGCAGATGATAAGAAATCATTGACAATCCCAAGCAATTCTCTCTTCTGCTCTCCAACACTAAGCTATACCAGTGTTTTATAAATACTTTATGAAATGCTTATCATCAACTCTTTCAAAAGACTGTATCAACAAACGTAGTATTAGTGCATATACCCACTAGGAGCATGTGAGTTAAGCCCGGATGCCTCACTGAGTATAAATTTCACATGCAATCTTGTTTTGCTCATGTATCAGTCCACTAAAAAACTCATCTCTTCCTGCCCCTCAAACCCTACAGCACTCAACTCAGGAGGCTACCAGTTACCAAGCTCTTACAGGAATTATAAGAAGGTTTTTGTTTTGAGACAGAGTCTCACTCTGTCACCCAGGCTGGAGTGCAGTGGCATGATCTTGGCTCACTGCAACCTCTGCCCACTGGGTTCAAGCGATTCTCCTGCCTCGGCCTCCCGAGCAGCTGGGATTACAAGTGCCTGCCACCGCACCCCGCTAATTTTTGTATTTTTAGTAGAGATGGGGTTTCACCAACTTAGCCAGGCTGGTCTTGAACTTCTGACCTCGTGATCCACCCACCTCGGCCTCCCAAAGTTCTGGTATTACAGGTGTGAGCTACCCCACCCAGCCTATAAGAAGGTATCTTAATTACTATGTTAACATGCATAATTCTCTTCGATCCTTTAAAATATTAGGGAGATAGGAAATATATAACCAAATTAGAAGCCAGTGATTGAGATTTCAGTTCAACACTCACATTATACTAAAGGGAAACTGAAGACCACAGAAATGATGTTAACTAAGCACAGTCTGCCCAGACTGAAGTGCTACCCACAATTACTATTGTCTCTTGCTTCTGCTGGAAGCAAAGTGAAACCAGAGATGGTAGTGCTGAAATCAGGATAATTCCTTCCATCATATCAAAATAATCTCTCCAGTCATAAGCACAGTGGTTGACCAGGAGTCCCTGCAAAAGTCTTCTATTTTATTTCAGTAAATAAGGACTTTTCCTGCCTTTCAGTTGCTATAAAATTGAGTTGCTATTGCCAGATAAAACTGCCCACTAAAGAGAAAAAAAATAAATAACATTATGAGGTGTGGAAGAGGGGTGGGTAGGGAAGAGGCAGAAATACAGATCTTGTTCTGAGGACAGCAGAAATTTCCCTGTTTAAATGTTTTACATCAGAAGACTCAAACTAGTTGCATTCCAGGAAATGAAAGAGTCCTGCAATAGGAACAAACTCAGTAAAGGTGTCAACAGATCACTTCTGAAAAGAATAAAATAGCAAAGTTGATGACACAAAACATACATATTAACAAACAAACATATTAACATATTAACACACACACATACTAACAAACATACATGAACCTTCCCCTTCCCTAACATTAATTTAAGTGTAGGATAAGTCATATTGGCTAGCTCTAAGAGCTTTCTCTACACCAGGCACTGTGCTAAGTGCTTTAAATGCATCCCACTTATACCTTACTAATACCCAATAAGGAAGGTACTAAATCAATTTCTCTATATATAATGTAAACATATATATATAAACACATTCAAAATTTATACAACTTTCCCAAGGTCATATTCCTGTTTATATCAGATTATGGCAAATAATTTTAGAATCACTATGTATAACAACTAAAATGGCTATACAAATGTCCTCCCTCCTTTCATTACTAAAAATAAGTGAACATCACCAGAAATTTGAAGGATTTTATAAAAAATCACCAGGAATTTAAAGGATTTTTGAAAAACTATAAGCAGGAAATTACTAAACCTGAGGCACTGGACGCTGGAGATTTTGTAGTGGAAGAAGTCGACACTGGAAAACAAAATAATAATGTAGATTGGACCAAACACTTGGGAGTTATTGCTGGCAATTTCTCCAGGAATTCCTTATATCTTGTAACATATAAGGAAGAAGACATATAAGGAAGAAGCTACTAAACCTGAATGACTCAAAGCTGGAGGTTTTGTACTAGATGGAGGCAGCACTAGGAAACAAAATAATGTTAGAAGATCAACCACTTGGGAGTTATTGCTCTCATTTCATTTATATGAATTATGCCATTGTTGACTTACTTAGATAAAAATGCCCATGTTTCAATTCCAAAAAGTTGTTGTAATTCACTTTTTATACATAAAAATATTAAAAGCATATACCCATGCAATGTACATAACGTGCTAAGAACCCTGGAAAAGCACAAAAAATCACAACAGCAGAATTTTATGTGAATTTCGTGTCATTCATCTGGCATAGAAATGAATACAAGACAGAGTTAAATACTAAAATTGTTTCTTTTCAGTTATTTTGTATGACTGATAGTTAATATCAAAGAAATAAAGTCTAAAATGAACAGCAACAACAATAACAAACCAAGACAGAAAAAAGATAACCTTTGTACCTTTAAGACACTTTGGAACTGGGGGATCCCAAGTACTGTTACTGTCACAGACAATTGTGTCGCTGCCATCGAGGTAAAAACCCTTATCGCATTCAAACATAACTGTTGCTTTGTAGTAAAATTTTTTTCCAAATCCTGATATCTGTTTTCCATTTTCGACTACTGGAAATCGACATTTGACCACTGGAAAATTAGAGAAACCTCAGAATTAATGGATATCTGCTTTAGCAGAAAAAGTAGTACAAAGTAGTAATTTCCAGTGTGAACAGAGACAAGGAATGGAATGCAAGATGTTAAAAACATTTTTTAAAAGACTTTAAATGTTAACTAATATATTCTCCTTCATACAGAATTCTAGGGTGTTTTATTTTTCTTTCAGCACTAACAGAGATAACCATATTGTAACCACATTTTCTTAAGAAAACTTGGCTGGCTGTCATTCTTACTTGTCCCTGCCCTCCTAAATGTAATACGGGTTTTTGTTGTTTTCCCCACTCACTGGCTGCTTTTTAAAATTTTGTTTGGTAGTTTTTACCAAACTACTGCAGGGGGGTGGTGGTGGTGGTAAATTTTAATAATTTATTCATCCTGCTGAAGGTTCACTGAATCTCCTGGATCTGAGGTTGTTTTGGATCTAATTTGGATAATTTTTGGCCAATATTTTTTCAAATAATATTTTACACCATTCTCTCTCCTGTCTTTCTGAAACTCCAATTACATGTATGTTTCACTGCTTGATACTCTCCCACAGGTCTGTAAGCCTCTCTCTTTCTTTAGTCAACATTTCTTCTTAAATAAGGTTCAATTTCTATTCACCTGTCTTCAGGTTCACTGACCTTTTGTTGTGTCTAATTGTACCTAATGTTATTTGTAAAGGTTGGTTTATTGGATATAATTTACATACAGTAAAATTCACCATTTCAAGTGTACAGCTGTATCAGTTTTGACAAATGCAAATAATCATGTAACTACCACCATAGTAAAGATACAGAAAAGTTCCATTACTCTCCAGAATTTCCTCATGCTCTTTTGTGAGTTACCCCTCTTCCCCCTCATCCCCACTTCCACAACCAGCTAACCATTGATCTGCTTTTATCCCTATAGTGGGACTTTTTCAGAATGTCACATAAATGAAATTACAGTCTTCTTAGTATGGCTTATTTCACTAAGCATGATGCTTTCAAAATTCATTTGTGTTGCTGCATGAATCAGTTCATTCCTTTTTATTGCTGAGTACGAGTCCATCTTTTAGAGGTAGCACAGGTGGTTCATTCATTCACCAACTCAAGAACATGTGGCGATTTGCAGTTTGGGGTGATTATGAATAAGGCTGCTGTGAACATCCTCATATAAGTTTCTGTGTGAAAATGTTTTCAGTTTATTTGGGTTGCCGAGTTGTATGATAAGAGTATGTTTAACTTTATAAGAAATGCCAAAAATGTCCCAAAGTGGTCATTGCACTTTGATTCTCACCATCAGTATATGAGAGTTTCATCTGCTCCATATCCTTGTCAATACCTGGTATTGTCAGTTTGGGGTGTGTGTGTTTACATTTCGGCCTTTCCAATAGGTATTTAGTGGCATCTCATTGTGAGTAGAGACAGTTTTTATTTCTTCTTTTCCAACATGTGTGCCTAATAGCTTTCTCTTGCCTTACTGTACTGGGTGGGATCTCCAATATAATGCTGAATGGAGTGGTAAGAGTGGACATCCTCACTGTTTTCCTTCCAGAATTAGGTCTTTATTAATTAGACAGAAATGTAAGTAAGGTTTTTTTAACCACTAAGTACAATGTTACTTTTTACCACTAAGTATAATTTTTTTGAACCATGAAGTGTAATGTTAGCTGTGAGATTTTTGTAGATGTCTGTTATCAGGGTAAGATAGATAGTACCCTTCTGTTCCTAGTTTGCTGAGAAGTTTTATCATGAAAAAATAAGATGATGAATTCTGTCAAACATTTTCTTTGTTTTTTGCATCTAATAAGATAACCACATGATTTTTTTTCTCCTTAATAGTCTACTGATGTGGCAAATTACACTGATTAATTTTTGCATTTGAACTAATCTTGCATTCATAGGGTAAATCCTACTTGGTCATGATTTACTTTTCTTTTTATGTATCACAGGATTTGGTTTGCTAATATTTTGTTGAAGATTTTTGGTCCTGTGTTCATCAAGGATATTATTTGTAATTTTCTTATAATGTTTTTGTTTTCTGGTTTTCGTATAAGGACAATGCTATCATCATAAAATGGGATGAGAAGTGTTCCCTCCTCTTGCACTTTCTTGAAACGCTTGTGTAGAATTGCTGTGATTTATTCCTTAGATGGTTGGTAGAACTCCCCAGTGAAGCCATCTGGACCTTCAGTAGGTTATTAACTACAAATTTTATTTCTTTGGTAGATATAGGAGTATTCAGGTTATCCATATCTTCAAGTGAGTTTTGACATTTTGTATCTTTCAAGGAATCTGTCCATTTCAGTTGTCAAATTTGTAGGCATAAAGTTGTTTATAATATTCCCTTGTCATCCTTTAAATGTCTGTAGGATATTTAGTGATATTCTCTTTTTCATTCTTTTGTTTGTCTGTTGAATAATTTTGTAAAGTAATCAAGTAAAGTTTACATCACTGATATTAAAGAATGACCATATGCACAAAAGAATATAAAGCTTTTTGGCTAAGGGATGGGGGGAAGTCAGAAAAAGGATGAGAAACACATACGGGGTGGACGTGAGGAAGGAAAGTGAAAGGTGTAGGCACCCCCACCTCACTTCCTGAGGCAGGGCCGTCAAGGACTCTCAAGATCGAGCGGCCATTAATTACATGGATTCAGATTTCTTTCATTCTAGACTTAAATTTAACCTTAGGTTTTGGCTCCAGCACCAATTTAACAGAGCAACGTAGGCATTTCCAATCCAGCAGCACACGCTGTTTCCAAGCGCATGTGACTGGCGCACCGCAGCTCCGTGCACACCCCAGGAGCTCAGTCCGTGCCCAGAGCAGGTGCCTGTGCTGTGGAACCTGACAGGAAGCCTCCCAGAACACCGCCTATCACAAGGCGCCACCTGAGGGGATCTGAGGTCTCTAAAGATCAACTGGTGCCTGTGATTTCCAAAGATTTAACCTTAGCCTTCAATGACATTTACATATAAATTGTCAAATAAAACCCTCCATAATTTACACTTAAGTCTAGGAAGACATGGCACAAATGTTCCAATGACAAAAAAAAAAAAAAAAAGTGTAGCAGCTGTGTGTGTTTTCCCCACTTTGACCAAGCTCTCACTGTAACACAGGGCATAAATGAGAAGGGTTGCACACAAATTTAAAGTATACAAAAAAAAAAAACCAAAAAATCATACGTTAACGCTGTTGACTTGTTAACAATGCAAGGAAACTCACTGGAAAATAAAATCCCTTATTTGAACCTTAAAAGAATGAAATGTACCAACTAAACTGTGTAGGCTCTAATGTAGCAGCACAGAATGTTTCCAGAAAAAAAATACATTGAAAAAAAATAAAAAATATTCAGAGATAAAACTAAAAAGATTAAAATATATATATCTTAAGAAAACTTATTGCTCAAAACATATGAAACTTAATTCTAAGAAATTCACCTACCTAAATTTAAACAAGATTGCTGCAGTTGCAGCTCGCCGTCTCCGAGAGACACGAAAAGTGATGAGGGGCGCAGGGCTGTGGGGATGTCAAGACTGGCCCAAGGTCAAAAAGCCCTTGAGGAGAGCCCTAGCTCCCACTGAGACCAGCCTCTGGCCTGCCCTCTGCAGACGGGAAGGAAGGGGATGGGTCTGGGGCTGCAGACCCTGCTGGAATTAGCAGAGGAGCCAGCAAGGCTGGGGGGCTATAGGCTGGCCAGTCTCCCTTAGCTGGATCCCGTACTCCACGCCTGGCCAGCACTCCGGGACGCCTGGCTCAGGTCTCCATCAGGATCTCCACTACGTGTTCCTACTTGCCCAGGTCAGAATGCAATTGCAGCTGGAGGTGGGAGGCCGGACGGCAGCAGGCCCAAGCCTCTGAATGCTTTGCAGGGCCACCTCCCATCGTGTGGGTCAGCACCGTGTGTCCAGGTCATCATAGGAACTGACCACATCTGAGGCCAGTTCTTCCATGCAAACTGGGGTTTTTGGTCTTCAGTATTTCAAATATCTCATCTAGCTACTTCTGAACGCCTCCTCTATTTTCCCCAGGGCTGTCCGTCTCCCAGATGCTGCTCTTCAGGGCTCCTGGCGCCAGTGCTGAGGTGACAGAGCAAAGGTCTGAAAACTGGCCCCTTCACGCAGCAGTGTCCAAAGCGGGGGGCATGGCACACCCCCTCTGGCTTCCACATGGCGGGCACAGGCCACAGGCACAGGATCTCTGCAGAAACCAGGCAGTGGAACAACGCCAACCCCACACTCTCGGGTGCCTGTGTGTGCCACGTCTCATCCTGGGCCATCTCCTCTTGGATCTGCCAGGCGTGTTGGCGATGAGGACCCTGCGGCAGTGGTTGGGCTCCACCAGCAAGTGGTAAAGCTGGAACTTCTAAAAGGACAAGTCCGGGAGTGACTGCCCCTGCCGGCTGCAGGAGGGCAGGGTCTTCAAGCTGGCTGGGGTGCCGCGCCTGGCCACCACTTCTTTCATTCTCAGTATTGGTTAATTTGCGTCTTTTTTTGTCAGTCTGGCTACAGGTTTACACACTTTATTGATCTCCAAGTAGCAACTGTTGGTTTCACTGATTTCCTCTATTTTTTTTTCTTTTCTCAATTTCATTGATTTTGGCTCTATTTTTATCATTTCCTTACATCTGCTAGTTTGGGATTTAACTTGCTCTTTTTTAGTTTCTTAAGGTGGAAAATTAGATCATTGATTTGAGACTTTTCTTTTTTTCTAACACAAGTATATTATGCTATACATTCCCCTGTAAGCAATGCTTTAGCTGCATCCTACATATTTGGATATTTTGAGATGTTGTGTTTTTATTCAATTCAAAACACTTTCTAATCTCCCTGCTGACTACTTCTTTTATGCATGGGTTATTTAGAAGTGTCCTGTACACTTTCCAATTCTTTGGGGATTGGCTTTGTTATTGATTTCTGCTTTCATTCTATTGTGATAATGCATGTTGAATGATTTCAATTTTCTGAAGTTTGTTAAAAGTTGTCTTATTGTCTAGAATATGGTCTACTTTGGAGAATGTTTCATGTGTACTTGGGGAGTATATACTTTTAAATCACTGTTATTCAGTGATTTCTTTCTTTAAATGGGCAAGTCCCCTACATGGTCTTCATACTTTTGGTCACTCCAGAGTGCCTTAAACATTTGGTCTTTAAAAAAAAAATTTTTTTTATCCAGAGTTTATCATTTTTATTTGTGAGACGATTAGTCTGTCACAGTTTACCACTACCATAGCCAGAACTCTTAGATTTCTTGTAATACAAGATGAAACTTTCTTTAAGCCAGTGTGTATTTTTTTTTTTTGGTTCTTTCAAACAAAAACTTCTAACTCATGCAGGTACACAGTAGTTCACACTGTATAAAATGAAATGCCAAGAACATGTAGGGGTGAGAAATAGGGAACTCTAGCTAGAACTATTTTTTGACTTGAATTGACCTGAATTAAAATAAATTAGAAACCAATTATACAGGAGGAGGAAGCACATACACCTGCTTTGTTTATCTGTAGATGAAACTATTTACAAAATGTTTCCATAGTATTTACAAATGAAGAAGGAAATAAATTGAAACACTACCTTTACACTCTGGAGCAGCACGACTCCACACTGAATTGTCACCACAATAAATCGTGCTCTCTCCAATAAGTGAAAATGGATCTGGTCCAGGTGCAGGATCACAACTATAAGTTACTGCATCAAGATACTCAAATACTTCTACTTCACTAAAGGTGTGTTTTCCATTTTTTATTTTTGGAGGTGGTGTACACAAAACCTCTTAAAAATGAAGAAAAAGAGGAAAGGAAATGTAAAAGATTAAGACAGCATTAGTAAAATTTCTGTGTCTTCAATAAATTTGTCAATATAGGGTTTCTACAAGCTGTTTGTGAATTCAATATGGATTTAAAAGAAGGTTTCTATGAGCAAATATATCATCCCAAATTCAAACCATTAATGTAGTAACTAACTTTCAGAACAAATCTCATTTTCTTAAAGTGTAAATACCTATTGATATGGTTTGGATCTGTGTCCCCACCAAATCGCATGTCAAATTGTAGTCCACAATGTTGGAGGTGGGGCCTGGTGGGAGGGGTCTGAATCATGGGGGTGGATTTCTCATGAATGGTTTAGCACCGTCCCCTTGGTGCTGTTCTCGTGATACTGAGTGCTTGGGAGATCTGGTTATTTAAAAGTGCGCAACACCTCCCGTCCTCCCCACCTTGCTCCTCCTGCTCCTGCCATGTGAGACACCTTGCTCTCCTTCTGTCTTTCCCAATGGTTGTTAAGTTTCCCGAGGCCTACCCAAACCCCCAGCAGATGCCAGCACCATGCTTCCTGTACAGCTTGTAGAAACATGAGCCAATTAAACTTCTTTTCTTTATAAATTACCCAGTCTCAGGTATTTCTTTAGAGCAATACGAAAACGGCCTAATACGCCTGTATTTATTTGGAAGGCCATGCTAAGTTCTGTTCTAGTCATCACAAGAAATGCTGACAATTAATGAGAAAATATGCTTAACTCGGTGCTAGTTAAGAAATCCTTTGCAATTTATAAATATATCCATTTTCTAAATTGGTGATTCACAATACCACCAAAATATTATTGTCTTTTTTCACTCTGATCCTAATAAGAATATAGTGATATTTTTCCAAAGGCTACATATTGTGTGATAACACAACAGGCCAAATACAATCTTGCTTTAAGCCAGATGTTGAAGAGATATGCAAAAAATGTGAACAATGCCACTATTCTCACTAATTTTATTTTGATTTGGAAAATTATTATTTTTCATAAAAATTATGTTACATATGTTAATTTGTATTGCATTTATTCTTACAAATTAATCAGGCCAGGTGGGGTGGCTCACATTTGTAATCCCAGCACTTTGGGAGGCCCACGGGGGCAGACTGCTTGAGCATGGGATTTCAAGACCAGCCTGGGCATCATGGCAAAACCCCGTCTCTTCAAAAATTACAAAAAGCCAGGCATAGTGGCACATGCCTGAAGCCCCAGCTACTGGAGAGGCTGAGGCTGCAATGAGCTGAGATTGTGCCACTGCACCCCAGCCTGGGAAATAGCCTGAGACCGTGTCTTAGGAAAAACAAACAAAACCAAAAAGAATCAATAATTATTTAAAAACCTCTCCGTTTGAATTCCAATATGATAAATACCAATAGATATAACCCACATAAAAGAAACCTCTTTGGGATCTTTGTTAATCTTAAAGTGTAAAGGGTGTAAAGGAGGCAAAAATCTTTGAGGACTACTGGTCTAAATTTAAAAAAAAAGAATTTACTTACTTTCACATATTGGGGGCTTACCGCTCCAAATTGCTACTGATCCTTTAAGTTCACAATATAGAATTTCTTCACCAATTAAGTAATAACTAAATGAGAAAAGAAAGGGTTACTGTTTTGTATAGCAATTAATAAGACACACATAATAATGAAGGAATTTTTTATATGGTTTCTTTTCTACACTACAGTAGTTTGAGGGGGTGGTTTCTTAAACAACATACTATATAACGAAAGTGCTAAATAAATCTGCAATTTAATCAAATAGAGTTTCCCCATTTGAATATATATTGGCCAAGAGCAAAGATGTCTAAATAAATCTGCTGTGCCTTTCCACCCAGCCTCTTTGCTGCCTCCTGCAATCACATTACACATTCATTTCTGTGCCTTTTCTCACACCACTTTGCACAGTAAGGACAAGGACTGTGTAGAGAGAACAGGCCCTAGAGCTGGAATGGATAGATTCAAGTCCCTGCTTCTCAACTTATCTAGTTTCTTGAGCTTGGGTAAGTCACTTAAAGTTCCTTCACTCAGCTTCCTAATTGATTAAAAGGGGATAACAGTACATGGGGTTGTTTAGGGGATTAGATAAGTTAGCATTTGGCACATAGATAGTGCTACATGAGTTTTAGCTTCTATTAATATTATTTAGAACAGAGTGTATTTCTAGGAATAGCTCACTGAGTATAAGAATACTTTCATTAAGTATACCCCTATACTCAATGAAATCTTCCCTGATTTAAATTCACAGGAATCTCTCCTCCTTCTGGACTCTTAGAGTAATTATCATGAATAATTCTACTTATTTGGTATTTCTCATTTAGTATTTTGCTTTTATTGCTCTCAGTATATATTATTTCTCAATAAGGTTAGAACTTCTTTTAGGAAGGTCACTGTCTTAAAGTTTTGGTATCCCTCGGTGTGCCTAGCAAGCAGTATGTGTCAACTGAATATTCCAATATTTCTACTTGACCAAATTTTAAAAACTGTCAGTTGCCTTACATAGTCACAGCTGATTTTTCCTCCAAGACTCACTTACTTTTTCTATATTATGGTGTGTTACTGCTATTGTTTGAATCTGGTTTGTCTCTACCAAAACTCATATTGAAATTTAATTGCCAGTGTAACAGCATTGAGAGGTGGTGGGGCCTTTAAGAAATGACTAGGTCATTAAGAGGTATAATGCCTTTCTAGAGGGTCTTCATTAATTCTTCAGGGAATGAGTTCTCATTCTTGTAGGCTTGGATTCATTACCATAAGAGCACGTTGTTATAAAGCGAGAACCCCCTCCCTTGTGCTTTGTCTTTTTTGCACATGCTAAATTTCCCTTTCACTTTCCAGCATGTTATGATGCAGCACAAAAGCCCTTGCCAGACACTACTGCCATCCCCTTGAACTCTCCAGCCTCCAGAAATATGAGCCAAATACATTTCTTTTCTTTATAAATGCCTAGCCTCAAGTATTCTGTTATAGCAGAATACTTACATTTACTCTATAAATGCACATTTATCTTAAATGTCTAGTATCTCCAATATATACAACTTCAAAACCCTACAGAACAAAGGCTATTACCGAGGGCTCAGTACCTGCTCTTGAGATGCTTCACACTGTAGCAGTCTCAAAAATAAGGTTTTTCAACTGAGAGATTTTGATCAACATGATGGTAAAGGCTAACCGCGTCAGTTTTGGTCTGATAACACTTTACAGAGTCATCTGGATACAAGTGTATCTTTAGTTGGCAATTCTATTTCTCATTTTTGTGAGCCCTACTTCAACTCTAAGAGTTGGCAGATTTAAATAGGGGACACTCAGTTGTGAAGGACAAATTCTCATGATTACTACATTCTTAATGCTTACAACAGACTTATTGTCAGAAACAGCAAGTAGTTTTGCTTTCCTTAAATATCAATTACTTTCTATTTACTATATATCTTGCCTATCTCCATAAAACATCCAAGAGTTGTTTGGCTAGAAGTATAACTTGTCACATAGAAAGCAAAATTAAGTTTACAGGAATGCTTAAGAAGAGAAGCAAAACAAAAATAAAATTACTAACACTTCCCTTATTTCCTCTAAGGAGCAACTTACCCCTCATTACAAATAAAGTGCATCTGATAACCAAACTCGTAAGTCCCATTTGCAGGGACTGCTTGGCCATTTAAAGGATCCCGTATATATGGACATGTTTCTCCTGAAAGAAAATAATTTTGATAGTTTTCAATCCAGTTATAAAACAGATCTGAATCAAAATCAAAATTCTGCAGTGCTCTTTTGAATGGGTGGGAATATAATTTTCATTATTTACTTATTATAAGGGCAAACTTAAGATTCATATTCACCCAGGCAATCTATTGCCAGGAAAATGATTTCTTGGAGATTTTGATTTCTCAAAGCTTGCAAAAATGCATTGTTATCTTGAACCTCATTTTACAAGAAGAAAATCATCATCACCGTAGTGGAATATGTACCCCAAAATGTATGCAAATCTCTAGAGCAAGCAGAAAAAAAAAAGAGGTTTGTTTACTTACTATAACAGGCGTCATCTGAGACAGGTAGCCATGTATGATTCCGATCACAAATAGTATGGGTGGCAAGAGGAGGTATATAGAAGTATCCTTTTTTACACTTATAATCTACTCGTTCACCAATCTCATAGTAGGGTTTTGGTTTACCAATGAGCTCCATAGCTTCAAATGTTGGTGGCTCCTCACAGGCATCTAGGGATAAGAGAATAGGAACATGAAGATGAAGTACTGATATCACTTTCATCAGCCATGGACTGTGGTCTGGCAGCAGGTAGTACAGAAAAAACAGAAAGGCCCTTGGCAAGATTTTAAATGACTGTTCCATGCTTTTACCTGAGTGCTCATAGCAGTGGAGGAAATGGGACTTGCATGTTTTAAGTAACATCCTATTAGCTTTTGGTTTGTTTGGGAATAAACATTCGACAATAAACTGAAGAGACAGCATTAATGTCTTTGATCTTAAAATATATATGGATGCATCTTTCCCCACATTTTTCTAAATTCATTTCAAAAGTAACTTCTCCTCTAAGAAGTCTTCTACAGTATAGAGTACTCTGCTCAGATTGTTCTTCCATAGTTTAAAACACTAACTTATAACAGCTTGTCACTTCAGGGTGTCTTCTCTTAAAAGGCAAGTTCCTGGGGGTCAAGAACCATGTTCTTCTTTTTCTACTATACTCACCTTGTGGGTGCACAAGAAATGCTGACACTGACAAACTCTATCTGCAAATAAGTATTCAAGAAATTGTCTGCTACCGTGCCTGGGAAAATCAAAACAACCCTAGTTTGGATTCATGTTGTGCTAAGTCAAACAAAAGGCTCAAGTTGCCCTAAAAGGACAGGTAATAACGTGAAAGTCTGAATTTATGATGGTGAGTGTTTACTCCTGATGAGTCTGTTGCTTTTCAGAATTACTCACCCTGTGATTTAATCCTCTTCCTTCTTTCTTGCCTCCTTTGCCCTACTCTGCCACACTGAATAGCTTGGCAGTCCAGTAGTGTCACATCTTGGTGCCTTTGCTCACCTTGCTTCCTCTGCTCTGAATACCCTTCCTCCCTGGCTGGTAGCTACAACTCCTGCTCAACTCATCTTCCTTAATCCACCCATCATCTCCTCCAGGAAGCATTTTCTGCCTCCCCCTGGGAAGCAGTGATCAGTCACCTTCCCCTGGACTCTCCCCTGCATGGATCTCTCAGGTAACTATCACATGCTTTTGTGTTTAATAGTTAACAAGGCCAACTCCATTCATCCATGTGGCCACAACACCCAGCACAATATGTCACTCAGAGTAGCTATTCAAAAAAAATTTGGTATTCAAAATCCACTGCTGTCAAACACAAAACAATGTGAAGAATATATTGTAATCAATTTCATATTGAAAATAATCATTCTACAGCACAATGGAGAAAGAAGATTAGGCCATTTCTTGTGCTGCCTATCTCCCAGTCTTCTGGTATCCTGGCAGGTGACCAGATATGGACTGCTCTCTTTGCATTGTAGTATGCCCAGTAAGGAAACTGAGACGCTACTGTGTAAGTGCTTACTGATCTTGGCTTCTTTCACTGGAAATAAGGAAAACACCTAAAATAGGCAGAAGAGACCACGCACAACAGGAGATTGCGGGTTTTGTCCAAAAAAGCAGCTCCTCTTCTGGAGGAATGAGACTGGCCTGAAATTTGATACATGTTTCCTTCAACTATCTGGAACCATTTGGCAACTACCTTTGAGAGGGCAGGTCTCCCATGCACAGCACTGTCTGCTTACGAAACCTTCTCCTTGTGAGAGTGAGTTGCTCCAAAAATTGAATGTTTATTTTAATTCACGTATTCTCTCTGCCTAGCATCGTGACTTCTCATTTTTACTTTCTCTAGGTTTCATACCTGTCTTGATTTACCCTTATGAACCTCAAACTTAACCTTGCTTTTCCTTCTCTTCATTCTTAGTTTTGTTATTTTCCATGTTGCACCCTATTCATTTCATAATTCTATGTTCCTCTATTTCAAATCGCTTTCATTATCTTCTTCAGCTTCCTATTTTGTTTCTTTTTTTGTTTGTTTGTGTGTGTATGTGTGTGTGTTTTGTTTTGTTTTGAGACAGGGTCTCTTGCTCTGTTATCCAAGCTGGAGTATGATCAGGGCTCACTGCAGCCTTGACCATGAGGGGCTCCAGTGATCCTCCCCCTTCAGTCTCCCAAGTAGCTAGGACCACAGGCATGCAACATCACACCTGGCTAATTTTTTTTTTTTTTTTTTACATGTTTTGTATAGGTGAGGTCTGCTTATGCTGTCCAGGCTGAACTTCTAGCACTAAGCCTATTCTAAACATTAATCTTAAAAGAAAAAAAAAAAAGTCCTTTTGTTTTCTTCTTATCACCACTACTCCCTACTCCCATTACCCTCCTTCAAAATGAACGTTTTAATGATCAGTGAGATGCAAGACTGAAGTACTGGAAGCCCTGCAGAGTCAACAAATAGGGGAGACAGATCCTTTCTGGCTCTCAGCTGCCACTGCCCTAGCTTTTTAGGTACCGCAGAAAGACCATCCTGAGCATAGCTCTTTAAAGAACCTTCCTCTTGGAGGCAGGAGGAACTTTTTCCTAGGCTCTAAGCCCCAGCCAAATAGTATATTTAATTTTCTGGTATTTAACAGATACAGAGGTAAACAAATCGGGCTTTTGGAACCACAAGTGCGACAAGACAGACAGGATCCCTGCATTCTGACAGGGTGAGACAAAGAACAGAAAAGGTCATTTTAAAAGGGTGATTACAAGTGAAGAGGGACTTGAACTGGGTTGTATGTGTTCAACCTGAGATGGGGGGGTCGCGAGGTGGGGTGATCAGAGAAGGTCTCTGAGGGTGTAACATTCCAGCTGAGTTTGCAGAAGAGCGAGACTGTTTCTGCAGCAGGTCAGGAGGAGAATGTTCCTGGGCTGAGGGAACAGCAAGCACAGATGCCCCAAAGTCTGTTTGATGAGCAGAGAAGCCTTCCCTCTCTCCAATCATTTGTTAAATGCTGTCAGATTTATATCTGAAAATTATACTGCTTGCCTCCAGAGCACTTCCCTTGGTTCATAATTTATTTGTCACTATTATGTTTTGGATTTTAATGTCTGCCAATCCCAATACATTTTAGCAAATAATTTATTGGTTATCTACTGTGTTCCCGGCACTGAGCACTTATCATTGAGCAAAACAAAGTCCCTGCTTATCTTCCTGCATGAATGTGTGTGTAAACAAATAGTGAAAAAAGGATCAAGAAAATAGGAATGGTTTGTTATTGCCTACCAGTGTAATAGCACCAGACATACAAGACCCATATTCGTTGAATGAATGCTCCTAAGGAAAAAAATGCAACGTAGAAACTATACATGTTATTGGATCCTAAATATAATTTGGACATAGATACACATGACGCGCACATGAAGGCAGAAACAAATATGCCAAAATATTAAAAATAGCTGTCTTTTGATTCTGTTCGTATCGCACAATAAGCATGTATTTCTTAGCGGGTTTTTTTTTTGTTTGTTTGTTTTGTTTTGACAGGGTCTCACTCTGTCATCTAGGCTGGAGTGCAGTGGCATGATCACAGCTCACTGCAGCCTTCACCTCCTGGGCTCAAGTGAATCTCCTACCTCGGCCCCCAGAGTAGCTGGGACCACGGGCATAAACCACCATGCCCAGCTAATTTTTGTATTTTTTTGTAGAGACAAGGTTTTGCCATGTTGCCCAGGTTGATCTTGAACTCCTGGGCACAGGCAATCACCCCGCCTGGGCCTCCCAAAGCGCTGGGATCACAGGCGTGAGCCACTGCGCCTGGCCTAGCATGCATTTTTAAAAGTATTGATTCCATTCAATGAAATACAAAATAAATTTAGTGGGATAGGCCTTAAGCTTTAGCTTATGAGCTGCAGGGGAAAACAAGATTAACATTATCTGCCTTCCTTTGTTAGGATACTAATTTCTCACTAGGTTTGGCTACCATTGTTTTTTAGGTTGTTTCACATCTCTCAAATATGACTCAAAGTAATGAAAAGAAGGAAAACAATGTCAAAAAGCCATTAGGCAATGGAATCAGATACTATCTATATTGGTTGGGAACAGGAAGAAGACTCGATGGCCCACCCACCCCCCAAAAAAGCAGCCATTTACAAACTAATAGGAGCTCAGGTAACACGGAGACTGTTCACAGAAGGCACAAAAAGCATGGCGCGCCCTTACCACCTCTCTAACCCCAGGCACCGAGAGCCTGCTCTCACTCAACATGCCCTCCCTAGCCCCAGAGTCCGCGCTCACTCCATTCAAAGCAAACAGTTGAGCTGTCTTGCCCACAGTGAACTCTGCACACAGGCCACTTACGCACAGCACGCTCCCAGCAACACCTGGCCAGGCCCCTGCTCGCCCAGCCCAGCACATGGGGCACAGCAGACGCACTGCAACCCTTACCGCGGGTACTGTCCAAGCCCTAATGAACACCCCACTCACCAAGGCACCAAGGGAACACAGGGCAAACTCTCACCACGGACACAGCACGGGCCCTAGCAACACTCCCACGCACCTGTGCACTCCAGAACAAGCCCTCACCTAGGGCGCCCAGTCCGCGCTCCCCTGGCCGACTGGCTCAATCCCGAAAACACGATTCACGCTTTTTTTAGGGACGCAGCCAGATCCTGCGTAAATGCTGGCCGCGCACACGACGCCACCAAACAAGCTTCACCTCGGGCTCTGCGTGGTCCCCGCATTCCCCGCCACATACCCCCGGGATCTGAGCACTGCACCCCTCAGAGAACCCTGTCCCCAAACAGGCACGGCCTGCTGTGAGCCCCGCCCCGCGACTCTTGCCCGACTGAGGAGAGCTCTAGTCTCGCCGCGGACGCGCGAACCCGCCCCGGGGTCCTACCGGAGAAGGAGTACAGCAGCAACACCATGGCCGCCAGAAGCAACCCAGGAAAGCGCCAGGAAGGAAAGGGACACTCGCGGCGGCCGGGAGGCTCCATGCGCGGCGCGGAAGACGCTGTTATTTCTCCGGAGGAAAGCAGAGAAACCGAGAGCCAGCCGAGCAGGGAAGTCCCTTCTGGGTCCAGATATGGGACGCAACAATCCCCAACTCACAAAGCATCCAGTGCTGCAGGACAGGTGGGCGTGGCCCGAGCCGCGCCCGGGGCGGAAGTGCGTCGAGTCACCAGGGCGGCTGGGGCCAATCGGCGGGCCGCGGGGCGGAGCCTCGGCGTTCATGGGCAGCCCTTGGCCTTCGAGAGGTCAGGGGGAGGCCCTGGCGGAACCTAACAGAACAGGTTCCCCGAGGCCGCCTTTTTTCTTGCTAAGCCCTTGGCCTACCATCCCGGAAGCCTGAGGCGTCCTGCGGGAAAGGACTGGCTCGCCGTCATATTTGTGACCCAGGCAGGGTGGAGAGAAAACTAAGCTGCTTTGGTAATAGTTTCCGGGAATTCGGGAGTCAAGAATAAAGCACTTCGACCTAAAAATAGAGATCCAGAGTCTAGACAGGGGGTCACCGTGGGCTAGCACCCCTCAGGGTTAGTTTTATCCTGGGGCACTGCAGGCTGTCAGGACTGCCTGGGCCCTTACTTGGTATTTGGCATTAGTCAGGCATTATTGGGAACAATATTTGAGTTTTTCTTGCTTGAATGCCTGCTACTGGATCGTCTCGGGGCCGTCTTGTTTTCACAATCTCAAAGGTTTGGCTTCTGCACTCCCAGCCCCTAAGGTAATTTGCCCTTTGCTCCCCTCCCTGGAGGGGACCCTTCCGAATCTAATTTATTAAGCAACACCAGGCAATTAGAATATTGAGACTCTATGGGGCCCTTGCCCTTGAGCAACTAAATTTTTTATTGAAGACGAAATATACATGCATGAACAATGTAAGGACAAGGGTGTCCTAAGTGCCAAATTCCTGGAAGCAATAAATGCAGAAGGATTCGGATGGGTAGAAATTGTTAGGTGAAGAGTGGATAAGGGGGAGAACTTTTCTGGTGAAACAATCTGAGGAACAATACTGGAAAATTAAGAATGAGCAGGATTGATTTGTAGGATTGTGAGTAAACCGGAATGACCGGTAAAAGGAAAAGGACATGACTGACATTAAAAGAGCAAACAAAGAGTTGACATTTCTTCCCCTCAGATTGGCAAAGAATTAAAACGTCAGCCAATGTGAGTGAACGTGTTGCAGGGGGACCAGCACTCTGTAACATAACTTTTCAGTATGTTAAAAGTCTTAAAGTGGACATGACTTGTGTTAGGCTCTCAGTTCCCAGAGAAATCATCAGAGCTGTGATCAAAGCTCTGATGTGATCAAAACTCTGATGTGATTAATTTTTGAAAAAATGTAAACCCTAAGTGTCTAGCAAAAGTAATAAAGAATTTCTGGCAGTTACCTTTGTGTGATGGAATTCTATGCAGCAAATATTGCAAAAGAATACCAAATATGAGAAACTATGATATCATTGTAAGTGGAAAAAGCAGAGTCCAAACTGGCATGTGCCTTTTGGCAGTCCTTTTATTAAAACAAAAGTACCATATTGATATGTATAAAAAGAAACTAGGAATACAGCAAAATTAACAATGGTTGATAAGATTACAGATATTTCACTTTCCTTATGCTTTTCAGTTTTCTATGTTGACCTTATGTTACATTTAGAATAAAGTAAAGAAAATGTATTTAAAAAATCAAACCTATATATCAAGGGCTGTTTTGTTCATAGAATTATGGGAGCAGAACTTGTATTACACAGGGTTAACCTATGAGAGGACGGTGAGGAACTGGATGCTCAGTGTATAAACCTAAAATGGGTCTTATAGAATTATAGAGTTTAAGTGTATTTAACACAGTTTTATAACCGAGATGTACTGAACAATTTCTGGGTTCACCAAACCATGGAATTTCCTCTTCCTGTCCGACCAACAAAAATTTTTAAATTCTTGGCAGAGATTATAAGACATTAAGTGTGGAGGTGGTATATCAGATAAACATCTTAGTATCTTGGATTATAAAATTCAACACTCCATGACAGCAATTAAAGCGGGTATAATTAAAGAGATGGTAAATAGGAAACTCAATGCGGGAAAATTATTATTTCTGTTAATATATGGTGTCAAAGAGTGATATAACAGATATGTTCTGTGGCTCAAAGCCAGCCTTCATTTGTGAAAGTGGATAGTCTATTTACTGTTCTCAGCAACAATAAATATTAAAAATTCTCCATCCATTTTCAGGCTTGGAAGAAAAATGTCTTTTTTTCTCATGAGAAATTTTATTATAAACTATAGAAGAAAAAATAGTGCTAATGTTTGATTGCCTAGTTTCGGGTGTCAAATTAGATTCAAAGATTGGTATTTTGTTGAAATTTTCTTTCAATCAGTAAAATTTCTATCCCTGAGTTAAGCCATTCTTAACATACTCGAAGACTTTCACATTAAATATTTAAAACTTATTTTTATTTGATTCAACTGAGGCTTTATTTGAATGGCTGAGCCTTGTTCTCTACTTTTTGGATAAGTTTCGTGAGTCAGGGATAGCATTTTCTCATATCTACAGTGCCAAAATCTATAGTAGGTGTACAATGAATAACTGGTAAATATTGGATGAAATAAATGGTTCTTGTGGTCAAGTGCATTTAACATGTCTCTGCCAGTTCTCCCCCAGCATGAATTTACCAAATGCCCACAAAGTTCTGAGAGATTTTGATTTAAATAATTTTAACCCTAGGAAACAAATCAAGATTGGTCTGTAAAAGGGATGAGCTACAACTGTCTGCACAGCAAACTTTCCTAAATCAGGTGTTGCAAGCTTACTTGTGAAGTGGAGCTGTGGTCTATCCCTTAGCCTTGAGATCATTTTAGTGACTGAGTTCAAAGGGAGGGTGTCGACAGTGAACTTCCTGAGGCCTTAACAGGGGTAGAACTTGAAGCCAAAGCTTTGAATGAAGGGGATTTAGGAGATTAAACACTAATGTTTCCTCCAACTCCCCCTAAAGATTTTGCCAAACTGCCAAAGAGAAGAAAAGGAGAGAATGAGGATATGTGTGTTTGTAGACCAGGTTTAGAACTATGGAATCTCCTTTTAGGGGCTTATGAAGGGCAGTGTGGGTGGAGGCTGGTGTGCAGGGATGTCATTAAACTGTGGCCAACTCTTTTAAAGTTTGATGTTAGATGGTTCTTTGCCTCCTAAATTAGTATACTGTATTTGCATTATGCTTTTCAGGAGCAGGTGTAGTAGCATGAATGGGCCTCTATTTGCATCTACTAAGCACCTGCCAGCCAACTGACCTTTACGGTTAGCTGTGTCTGATCCTCTTTCCTGTTACTATCAAGAGCATTTTTGTGGCATTACATATCAACACAGGGATTATGAGAACAATCAGGTACAGAAAGAAGTGCATTTCTCAGAAGGAATGGGTAGTATTTTGTTTCCTCTTGGCTTTTGAAGGCTTTTAAAACATAAGTATATTAGAAACTATATTCCATAAGTAGATTTGCAAAATAAAAATATTTTACTCCTTTCTCATTGTAATGGTAGAGACAGAAAATTTCATTTAAGCCTCATAAACTTTACACACTTAGTGTGCCAAAACAGCAAACAAAACAAAGAATGTTAGGGCTAGGAATAGCTTCAGAGAGCAATTGGTGTCCAGCCCCTGCTGATAGGGCTCCAATGTGTGAAGGAACACCAGGTTCTTCATCTCGCATTGAATTGGAAAAAAACGAGATGGGCACACGTGGAGTGGTTTTAAGGAGTGGAGAGTTTAGTAGGCAAAAAAGAAGGGAGAAGAAAGAAGGAAGAAGCTCCCCTGTACAGAGACAGAGACGGGGGCTCCAAAGCTGAGAGTGGAGACCTCAAGTGGGGCAGAAACCAGCCAGGTATACATAGGCTGGAGGAGGCGGTGCCTGATTTGCATAGGGCTCAGCGGATTGGTTTCAGTAGGCATGTCATTCACATAGCCCGGGAAAAAACTGGCCTTGCCACCCTAGTCTATTAATATGCAAATGCAGGGCACCATGATGTTCTACCCGTGTGGGGATAGGTGGGGCCATGTTGCCAGGCACATGTCAGCGCAAGGGCAAGAGGACAACCATGGGAATCATCATGTTGGGTAGACCCAATTTCTAATGGCCGGTATCTGCATACCTAAGGTTGCCTGCTTGGCTCTAAGGGCCTGGGCTTTCCTTCTTGACAAGAAACTTTTCTGGAGCTGCTTTAAAAGAAATGAAAACTTTCCAAGGACCGCTTTTCCTCTCTATCTGCCTAAAATAATTTCTTAGTAACTCCTATCACATTCCCCCCAGCCCCCCATGGAGACAACCTAATTGCTGTTAGGGGGTTATTGGGTGACGACTTTTTCTGGCTACTTCCTGCTGAAAATGGACGTTGAATGGGGAACAGCAGCTAGGGCTCTTCCTGGGGTCTGTCTAAGGGTTCTTGGAAATAGGGCGTGTCCACGCGTGATCCAGTTTATAACACCCATTTGGAATTTGGTTGCTTCTAGAGGAGAAGAAACAATTTGAGTTACAGTATTGAGTATACAGGGTTCAAGTATTAATACAAGACATATAAGCAAGAGAGGGCTTAATAAAGGGTTTAACCAATTCCATAAAGAAGACTGGAATTCATTAAAGAGGGACTGTAGCCACCCAGGGCTAAAGCCTGCATTTTTCCTGAGCTTGTTAATGATTTTGATTTGATCTTTAAGTAACTGTAGGTTTTCCTGTACTTTAGTAGAGGTGTTAATCCAGAAGCAGCATGTTTTATTTAGAAGTGCATCACTAATCCCAATAAAAAGTCCTAGCAGACTCAGTAAAACTTTGATGCTTCCTTCTTGTCAGTAACTATTATCCCTCCTATAAGGATAATAATTAAGCAACATATACAGCAATGGAAACTTTCTGTCCAATATTTCAGTTAGAAGGTGCTACCATGTATAACCCTATCACAAACAGTAGAGTGAGTATAGCAATTCCCACAAGTGTGGTGTAGTAGATAATTTCCATCTAAAATTTTACTTTCTAAGATACACAATTTCCCTTTGGGATTTATGAAGTTCATTGGTTTTATTTCCCCATAAAAGGAAACCTCCAGTTTATGGGCACCCTACTCACTTTCATTACCTGGCAGAATTTGCAGGATAATTGCCCAGAACTAGCATATTGATCCAGATTTTTACATTACGCATCCTTTTTTGTTTCTTCCAAGCTGCAGGAGATCACTTGATTTACAGGAATAAGCAGAGTTAGTTTAAAATGTAGGCAAAAAACTTAAAGACAATTAATGAAACTAGGATTTAATGACAAATGTATGATAAACTTTGGAGCACAATTTCTCTCTCCAGTTCTCATTTTTGGTAAAAACAAATTATGATAGGACCGTGTGTGTTGTTCGTAGAATAAACTTTAGTCTTATACCTGGCCTGATTATTTGCATAAAGTGCAGCAAGAATGGTTATTTCTACATAGGCCTTTTGGATTGGTTTTGATGAAACTCTGTTCCATAAGGACTTCCAGATAAGACTTTCAGAGCCAAGTCCACCATGGGTTTGTATCCACAAATACCTGTGAGTTGGGTGATCCTCACCTCTTGAGATCCCAAGATAAACTCAGAGCTCCCAGACCTGTTAGAAAGTGACATTCTTTACTGACCACAGGTTAGGAACCATGTGCAGGGACTGTGTGTAGATAAGGTATGAGGCCAGTTCTCCCCAAGGGCCTTTCATTGGCTCTGCATGTCAAGCTTGATTCCTTAAAGGGGAACACATCCTTTCAGTCAAAGCCTTGGTAAAATAACCAGTTTTCCCAATTGTGTCCTGTTGCCAAAAAAAAAAAAACAAAAAAAAAGGATTCTTATTGCACTGATGCAAACAACTATACTGCCATAAGTTAAGAGTACTCACAGACAGATAGTCTCCAAATTCCGGAGGAACCAGGCAGAGAAAAATAAACATGCTCCAAATTTTGTTCACAGTAGTAAAACTTACTCAATTATTAAAGGCCATAAATAGCTTAAAATAAGTTTCCTTGACTCTGAAAAACAAAACAAGGATCAGCAATATTCCAAGCAAAAGTTAAAAATTTTGCTTTAACTTTCTGAATACAGTCCCTTTAGTTAACTCTTGTTTTGCTTGATATCTGCGAATATGTCAGTTTTTTATGAGTCCCGTACGTCCTTTCTCTATTCCTGTGTTACAGTGTTCAAAGCTATTAAAAGCTATTAGAAACCTGCATTTGAGAACACCTGTTAAAGTCCTTAATATAGCTTGGTTATGAACCGTTTTTTGAGAAGGAATAAAGCAAGACAACAATTGTCTGTGAATGGCAAAATTTCCATGATAGTTACAGTTAAAAACACGACTGAAAAAGAAGTTTATTTATCTCAATGGCTACCAATAATTTTACCCTTAATTATGACTGATAGCATATACTTAGACATTAGAATTTTGGAAATCCTATATAATTTTGGAACATATATTCATCAAAATATGCTTAAAATAAGATTGGACATCATTTTGGCAATCTCATGTGACTAAACTTGTCAAATAATCATGTTTACCTCTTTTCTGAATGTTTCAGGGGCCCTCTGAACGATCCAAAAAGCCAGCCCTCAGGAAGGAAAATTTTGAAACTTGAAGTTTGATTTTGAGATGACTGTTAAATGTTAGAGGTTTTGAACACTTGATGTTATGAAATAGAATTCCAGATTGCCATAAATTATTTTGCCAAAATGATGACTCAAAAGGCAAAAATGTTTCATTAGCCTTTACTGTGACATGGAAATCCTGTTCAAAGACAAATTTTACCCTTGCATTAGTTTGTTAATGTTAACCCCAATTTGTTTAAATGAAACCTTATAGATTATTCCATCTAATCTTAACCAATTTGACCATGAGGTAAAAGCTTTACAAACCTTTTATAACCCTTTTACTAAAGGGCAGATTAGTGTTTTAAGACCTCCTTGCTATACTTCTATTTCAATGCTCAATTTATGAAAAGACCATATAGATACTATGGGGGAAGACAGTGTAGTGCTTCTATCATGTATTTTATTGCAAGGCACCCCAAAGCCAATCGGCTTATTTTGTAATTAGCCCATCCCCCATGGGAGTCTCATCTCTTAGTTGGGGGTGGGGTGGGGTGGGGATGTTTCCATATCTTTCAGGTGGCCAAGAGCATGCTTCTCTGATTTATAACTACTATTAGCCATCCCTTAAAGTATATTTCCTACCTAGTTCCTACACACCAAAGCTCTCTCATAATGGGAAGTAATTTTTGATACCCCAAAACTCAAAACCATCAGATAACACAATGCAAAACAGAACACAGCCTTTGATTTTGAGAGGGATCTATCTTCTTTTAACTCCTGGGATCTCGTGAGGAAAACATGTTTTTTTTTTTGTTTGTTTTGCAAAGTGGCGCCTTTGGTTTTTCCCAAGGAATCTCATGCTATCAGAAGTTTTCCCAAGGAGTCCCATGCTACCGGAAGTTATCTTAGGGCCTCTCATGCATGCATTAAGAGTGGTAAGACAAAAAATGGAGAAAAATAATTCAGCTGACAGAAGAAAAGAGCCTTTTTCCAGAAAAACTTTTAAATATACCTATAACTTGAATATCCACTTTTAATTAAGCTGAGCACTCTTTAAGAAAATTCTTTTAAATTCCTCGTTACTTGACTTTAGCCACACCAAGCAGTTAAGATTTTTGGCTTTTTAACCTTACAAAAAGTCACCTCACAGGTTAAACCGACAAGGCTTAAGTAGGTTATGATTTAACCACAAGTGTACAAGGTATTATTTAAGGGGAGATAGGCAGCTTTTGAAACTGTCATTGCAAAATTGTGACTGAGACAGTGAAAGAGATCCAACCGAAGCAACTCCATTTTTTTTTCCAGCCCCCAAGCTGTCCTTGCCCATCCCTGGGCATAGACTGAACCAACTTTGTGAGGAGCCTGGTTTACAGTGTATAGTTTAAAACAAAGATGATAACCGCCCCTTGTTAAGATATACTTCCCTCTTGCCGGGGTACCAGACCAAGAAACTAGCCATAAGATTAGAAACTGTGGCTTAGGGGTCATGCAGCTGGAGGCTACAAGATTTTGACCCTCTCAAGATGAGTGCTTAAGATATTTTGTAAACCCTGCTCACCCTGGCACCATCCAGATTGACAAACTGTCTTATCTGACTTTGTGGCCCTCACCCAGGAACTGACTTAGCACAAGAAGACAGCCACCATTGTAAAATGGCAGAAACTAAAACAATGTATTGCCATGCAGTTATAGGTTATGCTCCTAAGGACATGAAACAAGATGGAGGCCTGTAGCCAAGTTTGTTACTGACAGTTTTGTTGGGCTGGGTTGAACAGCAGGCTTATGGGGTCCTGGGCCTGCATCCTAACCTAAGGGTACCCTTTCTTTGACAGAACCATACAGAAAGACATGCAAAGCACATCAGATTGTCTACAGCTTAAGACCAACCTCACAAATCCTTTTTCATTAATTATAAATTCACAGAGAATATAAACTATGATCCTTATTATCCCGTTTACTGGTTTGCACAGGGAGAGAGAAGCCAAAAGCCTGACTAGTAAGAAATTTTTACCCTTTTGCCAACATATCAGGCTTCTGGGTTCCCTTCCCCCTAGCTCAACTCTAAGCCAAGCATTTTAAGGTTTGGAAAATTAACCTTTCCTAGGTTGGAAGAACATTATAAAAGAGAGAGAATCCATTTTAAACCACAAAAGAAGTAAAAACACTTTAGAAAGGAGTTCCAATTAGGGTTGCCAATGGTGTTTCCCCTATTTCTTTGCCTTCCCTGTTTTCTCTTTTCCCTTTTGGCCTACTACAGGAGACATATTGCTCATCTCCAAAATTCTCTTCTGCTTGCAGAGCTTCCTGTTTTAGCTGTAGTTAGAGTTTGGCTTAGGAGGAGCATAACATTCCTCCATGAGAGGTCAAATACCTGAGTTAAATTTTGGAAAGCTTCTATCTACCTATCAGTGTTGTCAGAAAATCAGCCTAAGACTCCTTTTACTTGTCTGAGGCCCTGCAATGAGAAGGGAACGTGAAGGGCCCCCAAATAAGGGGGATCCTCAGATGGTTCCCCTGGAACTTGCTTCTTTAATTTTGGGGAAGTAAAAAGGCCATGCCCTTGTGCAAAAGAAAATAGGCCACTTTTACTTCAAAGTTTCTGGGTTGAAAGAGTCCCAGTGCTTTAAAATACACTCCAGGGGAGTGCATGTTAAAAGATGATTTGTTACCCAACTAGAAAGAGAAGTGAGAATAAAAGCATCCTTTTAGTCTCCTTCCTTTCGGTATGTGATCCAGGATGGAGAGAAAAACAGTAGAGGGCGTCCCCCCAACTATATTCCCTCTGGGGTTCCTGGATTCCCAGCACTCGTTTAAATGTGCCACCCATGACTGCAGGCGTGACCCCCCAAGCCATGGCACTAGAGGAACTAAACTTTTGGACCTTAGGCATGCCGTCCCCAAGCAGTCTTAGTCCTCTACCTTTTATTTCCCTTTGACGTTCTAGACTGGTGTGGCCTGTGTTCCTTCCTAAATGGATCTCAAGAAAAATCACATAATTGGGCAAGGTCCCTGTAAGGGAGGGGGTGTGCTAGATTGAACTCTATATCCTGCTATTATAGCCCGTGCTAAAGCATTTACCCATAGAAAAATGGTTCCGGTTAATTTCTGGACTTAAAATTCCCTCACTAATTAAGTACCATCTTAATAGGAGACAGAATACATGCCTTAAAGAAATGAAGGAACTGAATGTTCGTTTTTCTGCCAGTGCGACAATATCGAGACTAAAATTTGGCTACAAAAGACATCTTACTCCTAACTGTTAAAAGCAGAGCTTTCCCGTCCACAGAAGTATCAGTAGAAAAGTGCAAAATGAAAAAGTTGCGAAGCTGCAAGTTACCACAGAGAACCAGCAATGTGTCTCATAAAGAGGATTTTTATTTTCACTAGGTGGCTTAGAAATACCATGTGCTTGCCACAGAAACCGTAGAGAGTAAGAGACATTTATTGAATTACTGCCTGCCATGATTCGTGATCTTTTCTAACAGAACTGTTTCCCTGAACTGTAAAGATTCCTGCACATTAGACACACACAGAGAGGGTAAGAGACCGCAGATAGAGAAAGTTTGGCGACAGGGTAGCTGGAAGAGAGCCTTGAGATTAAAGGACAGATTTAAAGTTGAGATCCACTCCATACTCACCAGTCTGATGAATGAATTTCTTTTGCTGGCCCATGCACCAAAATGATACAGCTCTGAGGAGTGGAGGTGAGAGACAGGACTAGCTGGATTTCCTAGGCCAACTAAGAATCCCTAAGCCTAGCTGGGAAGGTGACCACTTTCACCTTTAAACACGGGCTTGGAACTTAGCTCACGCTTGACCAATCAGATAGTAAGGAGAGCTCACTAAAATGCTAATTAGGCAACAACAGGAGGTAAAGAAATAGCCAATCATCTGTTGCCTGAGAGCACAGCAGGAGGGACAGTGATCGGATATAAACCCAGGCATTCAAGCCGGCAACGACAACCCCCTTTGGGTCCCCTCCCTTTGTGTGGGAGCTCTGTTTTCACTCTATTTCACTCTATTAAATCTTGCCGCTGCACTCTTCTGGTCTGTGTTTGTTACGGCTTGAGCTGAGCTTTCGCTCACCGTCCACCACTGCTGTTTGCCGCCGTCGCAGACCCACCGCTGACTTCCATTCCTCCGGATCCGGCAGGGTGTCCGCTGTGCTCCTGATCCAGAGAGGCACCTACTGCCACTTCCAATCGGGCTAAAGGCTTGCCATTGTTCCTGCACGGCTAAGTGCCTGGGTTCATCCTAACCGAGCTGAATACTAGTCACTGGGTTCCACGGTTCTCTTCCAGGACCCACGGCTTCTAATAGAGGTATAACACTCACCACATGGCCGAAGATTCCATTCATTGGAATCCATGAGGCCAAGAACCCCAGGTCAGAGAACACGAAGCTTGCCGCCATTTTGGAAGTGGCTCGCCACCATCTTGGGAGCTCTGGAAGCAAGGACCCCCAGTAACAGAGGAACCTGTTGGTTCTTCGTCTCATATTGAATTGGGAAAAATGACACGGACACACATGGGGTGGTTTTAAGGAGCAGAGAGTTTAATAGGCAAGAAAGAAGGAAGAAGCTCCCCTTTACAGAGACAGAGGGAGGGGGGCTCCAAAGCCAAGAGAGGAGACCCCCCACATGGGATGGAAAATAGCCAAATATATGTAGAGGCTGGAGGAGGTGGTGTCTGATTTGCATAGGGCTCAGGGGATTGGTTTGACCAGGGATGTCATTCACATAGACTGAAAAACTGGCCTTCCCACCCTAGCTTTTAATATGCAAATGCAGGACACCAAGATGTTCTACACGTGGTGAGATATGTGGGGGCAGCCATGTTGTCAGGCACACGTCAGGGCTAAGGCAAGAGGAAAACGGTGGAAATCACCATGTTGGGTGGACCCAGTTTCTAATGGCTGGCATTTGCTTGTTAAAGGTTGCTGGCCCAGCTCTAAGAGCCAGGGCCTTCCTGCTAGACAAGAAACATTTCTGGAGCTGCTTTAAAAGAAACAAAAACGTTCCAAGGACCCCTTTTCGTCTCTATCTGCCTAAAATAATTTCTTAATAACTCCTATCACACTGCTTTTCAGATGTAAATGTAAGGTCAAAGGTCAGCAGAATTGTTTAATAATACAAGTTAGGCAATATAGTATTTTACTCATAGTATATACAGTATTTCCCATTATAAATGATGTAATCGAAAACAAACCTTTTGGCTTTCTTGCAATTAAAAAGTCACAGGTGAGGTTGCAGTGAGCCTAGATTGCACCACTGCACTCCAGCCCCAGGGCAAGACCCTGTCTCCAAAACAAAACAAAACAGAAGTCAGAGGCATTGCATATTTATTAATCATATTGCTCAGTGACCTACTCCATTCTGGAAAATAAAGAACCCAGGATTTTTTTTCTTGTGTTGGGAAATTTTCATTCTAAAAAAGGCCAATTCCCAAGCATTTAGTTTTAAGTCCTCTTTTAAAAGTTACTTCTTCAAAATCCCAAGAAATAAAAGAGATTTGCTAAAGATCCAGCTAAGCAAAAGTCCTATCAAGTATCTCTATATATATTCACTGGCTACTTGCCCTTCTTTCTTGGTGACCTACCTGTATGTCCTTTATCTATTTTTGTGGGGTGGAGAGAAGTTTGGTCTTTGAATTTTTAAGTACTCTCTAAATAATAAAGCAATTACCCTTTGTGGTATAAGTTGCATGTTTTTTTTCTTGCAGTTTATCAGTTGATTTTTCTTATGGTTTTTTTTTCCTATCTTGCATGATTTTAAACTGAAATTCAAGTTCATGTCTATCTCTTTATATCGTTCTCAAAGTAAATGTAGCCGAATTCACCTTTAAAGCAACTATTAAACAGAATTACACAGAAATGAGCAGTAGTCATATATAAAGCTATTATTAAATAGCCAGAAATATTCTGATGTTTTTTAGAGGTCATTCGCATAGCCCATAATAACATAAATTTTTGATCTCTAAAGATGTAGACTGGTTAAAGAACACAAGGTCACTTATTTTAAAAATGTCAGAACATGTTTATTATTTTGATAAATATTTTAAAAGTGCTTTTAAAAGTTCGTATATTCTGAATTCATAAAAAGCTACTTACTTTTATAATAACAATCATTTCAAATTTCATTATGTTTTTTATAGAGAACATAGCACAGAGAGCTTTTGAAATAAAGCTTAGAAAATATCCAAAGCTGGCCAGGCACGGTGGCTCACGCCTGTAATCCCAGCACTTTGGGAGGCTGACGCGGGCGGATCATGAGGTCAGGAGATTGAGACCATACTGGCTAATATGGTGAAACCCCATCTCTACTAAAAATGCAAAAAGTTAGCTGGGCATGGTGGCGGGTGCCTGTAGTTCCAGCTACTTGGGAGGCTGAGGCAGGAGAATCACCTGAACCCGGGAGGTGGAGGTTGCCGAGATCATGCCACTGCACTCCAGCCTGGGCGACAGAGCAAGAATCCGTCTCAAACAGAAAGAAAGAAAGAAAATATTGAAAGCTTATTTTCCAAATATTTCTCTTGAGTAGTCTTAACCGCTCTTCCCATGATCACTTCATGCCTTTCTAGTAAATTAATTTTTCTCCCTAGAGAAAGTAAAAACTGATATAGTATATATTTCACTCTAAACTCTTTAAAAGACTAGGGTTCTGCTCTATAAAATAAAAGGAAACTAAGGGGGGAAAAGTACGTATGTGAAAAAACACATATGTGAAAGAAGATAGGCAGAAAATGAATCAAAATATTAGGAGTGGTTATCAGTGGTAGCATAATTATAAGTGACTTATTTTTCATAACTTTCTGCATTTTCCAAGCTCTCCTTACTGAGCCCATTCCATATTACAAATATTTTAAAAAAGAACAATGACCACCTTACAAACCAGAAATTCCAGGCAACACCTTATTCCTTTAAGTAATCCAAACTATTTTCTATCTCCTAAATGCAGTCTTTTCCCCTGACTAGATACTGTGTACGTTTAGCACAAGGCAGAAGGGTGGGGGTTTCACAGTGACGCACACAAAGAGGGAGGAGCTTTGCTAGGTACCGGGGAAGGGGCAGCATCTTCAAGTGCACATGTCTGCGTCTCTGTGAAGTCACTTCAAAGACTTTATGAAGCTCAGATCTGATTCTGTTGAAATCAATTGGCTCCTTTCCAACCAAAATTGTATTCGAGATGTTCTTCAGCTGTATAGTACTTTGTCAAGGAAGGTCCCTAAAATAACAGGATGTTTTCATTTAATTAACAGCATGGTCCACAATTGAATTACCCAGAATTTACAAGCTGATAATCATGATGCTAGCATTCCATATAAATTACAAGGTCATTAGAAGTGTTTATTGCCCTCTGTGATGACTGCTATGTAGGACATAGAAAATATGGCGTAAATGGAGACATCAGTAGATAAGAGAGAGATTAATGATTAACTTGACCTTTTCCTTTTTTAATTTTGTCCAAAGAAAAAGTGTTCTCAGAGTTGAGCTACTAAATAAAGAGCCTCATTCCATTCTAGAAAACGTACAGGTCACTCATAACAGAAGAAATTTTTTTGAGTCTCTTGCTCTAAACCACAGTTGTAGCAGGGGACAGAAATAGGAACTGGTCATCTTGGAGGGAGTCAGCTTCAGAAAGCATGTCCTCCTCTTTTAATTACAATCAAGAATGAGCTACGACAGTGGATTTATTACAAGGTATCCACATGCTTCCCCAGCCGTGCTGGAGCCTCTCCTTTTAAGGCCGGGAATGGTGTCCTTCCACCAAGGGACACCCCTCCTGATGAGGCCTCCAGCTCATCTGTTCCCCGGTTATTACGGCCACCAGATTCCTCATCTTCGTTCTCCTTCCATTTCACAAGACTTCCCAGCATCACCTGTTACCTGTATTCCTCCAAACACTCTCATGTCCAACACACAGCTATGTCTTTGGAGCCTGCCTCTTCACTCTGCCCCAGAACCTGGGTGCACAAGGTCTTAACGCTTGGCACAGATTCTAACTCACTTCTTGACTAGCATATTTTGCCACAGATGATTCACTTTGTTCCCATGGAACACTGTGGTCAAAATTCCAATCTTAAAAGGGAAAGTTGAAACAAATTTTTTTTTTTTTTTTTTTTTTTTTTTTTTTTTTTTTTTTTTTTTTGAGACGGAGTCTCGCTCTGTCGCCTAGGCTGGAGTGCAGTGGCGGGATCTCGGCTCACTGCAAGCTCCGCCTCCCGGGTTCACGCCATTCTCCTGCCTCAGCCTCCCAAGTAGCTGGGACTACAGGCGCCCGCCACTACGCCCGGCTAATTTTTTGTATTTTTAGTAGAGACGGGGTTTCACCGTTTTAGCCGGAATGGTCTCGATCTCCTGACCTCGTGATCCGCCCGCCTCGGCCTCCCAGAGTGCTGGGATTACAGGCGTGAGCCACCGCGCCCGGCCGAAACAAAATTTTTAAGGACTTTATACCTAGTAAAAGGTGATCAGTAGTTAGTGTACACAACTTCAAGTGTACTTTGATATAAAAGAGTATTTCCAAAAAGATGAGGATAACTGAAATTTTCATAAATTCATTTCTCAACTGTTTAACATGCTCAGTTGATTACTGAATATTTCTCATTTGATTATATTCAGAGATTTGGGGAGTTTTTTTTTAAATTAATTTCTCTCCCTAGAGAAAGTAAAAACTGATATAGAATATATTTTTGAAAAAATGTCTCCTCATCAGAAGGTAATTTAATATGGGAAAGAAAACACACATAAGCACAATGTATGGTACACTGTAAGTGGCTAAGAATATTTTAAGAGTAAATAAGCAAGGAAATGAATGCAATACAGTTAACAGGCAACAAAAAAAACACATGAAATGTCAAGTGGATATATACTGTTATCATGATGGGTGAAATGTTTGTCATTTGGTGAAAAAAGAGCAGGATTCAATATTGAACAATCAATATAATCTCAAAGTGTACATGCAAATATAAAATAATATGCAAAGAAGCTTAAGAATAATACTAGGTAGAGATTATTGCAGGTAATTTTTACATTCATTTATATTTTCCCCTATTTCTTATTTTTAATAATGATGAGATATTACTCTTAAAATAAATTAGTTTATTTTTATTTTTTTATTTTTTTTAAGTTTTTTTTCTTTTATTATTATACTTTAAGTTTTAGGGTACATGTGCACATTGTGCAGGTTAGTTACATATGTATACATGTGCCATGCTGGTGCGCTGCAACCACTAACTCGTCATCTAGCATTAGGTATATCTCCCAGTGCTATCCCTCCCCCTTCCCCCCACCCCACCACAGTCCCCAGAGTGTGATGTTCCCCTTCCTGTGTCCATGTGATCTCATTGTTCGATTCCCACCTATGAGTGAGAATATGCGGTGTTTGGTTTTTTCTTCTTGCGATAGTTTACTGAGAATGATGTTTTCCAATTTCATCCATGTCCCTACAAAGGACATGAACTCATCATTTTTTATGGCTGCATAGTATTCCATGGTGTATATGTGCCACATTTTCTTAATCCAGTCTATCATTGTTGGACATTTGGGTTGGTTCCAAGTCTTTGCTATTGTGAACAATGCCACAATAAACATACGTGTGCATGTGTCTTTATAGCAGCATGATTTATAGTCCTTTGGGTATATACCTAGTAATGGGATGGCTGGGTCAAATGGTATTTCTAGTTCTAGATCCCTGAGGAATCGCCACACTGACTTCCACAATGGTTGAACTAGTTTACAGTCCCACCAACAGTGTAAAAGTGTTCCTATTTCTCCACATCCTCTCCAGCACCTGTTGTTTCCTGACTTTTTAATGATTGCCATTCTAACTGGTGTGAGATGGTATCTCATTGTGGTTTTGATTTGCATTTCTCTGATGGCCAGTGATGATGAGCATTTTTTCATGTGTTTTTTGGCTGCATAAATGTCTTCTTTTGAGAAGTGTCTGTTCATGTCCTTCACCCACTTTTTGATGGGGTTGTTTGTTTTTTTCTTGTAAATTTGTTTGAGTTCATTGTAGATTCTGGATATTAGCCCTTTGTCAGATGAGTAGGTTGTGAAAATTTTCTCCCATTTTGTAGGTTGCCTGTTCACTCTGATGGTAGTTTCTTTTGCTGTGCAGAAGCTCTTTAGTTTAATTAGATCCCATTTGTCAATTTTGTCTTTTGTTGCCGTTGCTTTTGGTGTTTTAGACATGAAGTCCTTGCCCATGCCTATGTCCTGAATGGTAATGCCTAGGTTTTCTTCTAGGGTTTTTATGGTTTTAGGTCTAATGTTTAAGTCTTTAATCCATCTTGAATTGATTTTTGTATAAGGTGTGAGGAAGGGATCCAGTTTCAGCTTTCTACATATGGCTAGCCAGTTTTCCCAGCACCATTTATTAAATAGGGAATCCTTTCCCCATTGCTTGTTTTTGTCAGGTTTGTCAAAGATCAGATAGTTGTAGATATGCGGCGTTATTTCTGAGGGCTCTGTTCTGTTCCATTGATCTATATCTCTGTTTTGGTATCAGTACCATGCTGTTTTGGTTACTGTAGCCTTGTAGTATAGTTTGAAGTCAGGTAGCTTGATGTCTCCAGCTTTGTTCTTTTTGCTTAGGATTGTCTTGGCTATATGGACTCTTTTTTGGTTCCATATGAACTTTAAAGTAGTTTTTTTCCAATTCTGTGAAGAAAGGCATTGGTAGCTTGATGGGGATGGCATTGAATCTGTAAATTACCTTGGGCAGTATGGCCATTTTCACAATATTGATTCTTCCTACCCATGAGCATGGAATGTTCTTCCATTTGTTTGTATCCTCTTTTATTTCCTTGAGCAGTGGTTTGTAGTTCTCCTTGAAGAGGTCCTTCACATCCCTTGTAAGTTGGATTCCTAGGTATCTTATTCTCTTTGAAGCAATTGTGAATGGGAGTTCACTCATGATTTGGCTCTCTGTTTGTCTGTTGTTGGTGTATAAGAATGCTTGTGATTTTTGTACATTGATTTTGTATCCTGAGATTTTGCTGAAGTTGCTTATCAGCTTAAGGAGATTTTGGGCTGAGAAAATGGGGTTTTCTAGATATACAATCATGTCATCTTCAAACAGGGACAATTTGACTTCCTCTTTTCCTAATTAACTACCCTTTATTTCCCTCTCCTGCCTAATTGCCCTGGCCAGAACTTCCAACACTATGTTGAATAGGAGTGGTGAGAGAGGGCATCCCTGTCTTGTGCCAGTTTTCACAGGGAATGCTTCCAGTTTTTGCCCATTCAGTATGATATTGGCTGTGGGTTTGTCATAGATATCTCTTATTATTTTGAAATACGTCCCATCAATACCTAATTTATTGAGAGTTTTTAGCATGAAGGGTTGTTGAATTTTGTCAAAGGCCTTTTCTGCATCTATTGAGATAATCATGTGGTTTTTGTCTTTGGCTCTGTTTATATGCTGGATTACATTTATTGATTTGCGTATATTGAACCAGCCTTGCATCCCAGGGATGAAGCCCACTTGATCATGGTGGATAAGCTTTTTGATGTGCTGCTGGATTCGTTTTGCCAGTATTTTATTGAGGACTTTTGCATCAATGTTCATCAAGGATATTGGTCTAAAATTCTCTTTTTTGGTTGTGACTCTGCCCGGCTTTGGTATCAGAATGATGCTGGCCTCATAAAATGAGTTAGGGAGGATTCCCTCTTTTTCTATTGATTGGAATAGTTTCAGAAGGAATGGTATCAGTTCTTCCTTGTACCTCTGGTAGAATTCGGCTATGAATCCGTCTGGTCCTGGACTCTTTTTGGTTGGTAAGCTATTGATTATTGCCACAATTTCAGATCCTGTTATTGGTCTATTCAGAGATTCAACTTCTTCCTGGTTTAGTCTTGGGAGGGTGTATGTGTTGAGGAATGTATCCATTTCTTCTAGATTTTCTAGTTTATTTGCATAGAGGTGTTTGTAGTATTCTCTGATGGTAGTTTGAATTTCTGTGGGATTGGTGGTGATATCCCCTTTATCATTTTTTATTGCATCTATTTGATTATTCTCTTTTTTTCTTTATTAGTCTTGCTAGCGGTCTATCTATTTTGTTGATCCTTTCAAAAAACCAGCTCCTGGATTCATTAATTTTTTGAAGGGTTTTTTGTGTCTCTATTTCCTTCAGTTCTGCTCTGATTTTAGTTATTTCTTGCCTTCTGCCAGCTTTTGAATGTGTTTGCTCTTGCTTTTCTAGTTCTTTTAATTGTGATGTTAGGGTGTCAATTTTGGATCTTTCCTGCTTTCTCTTGTGGGCATTTAGTGCTATAAATTTCCCTCTACACACTGCTTTGAATGCGTCCCAGAGATTCTGGTATGTTGTGTCTTTGTTCTCGTTGGTTTCAAAGAACATCTTTATTTCTGCCTTCATTTCGTTATGTACCCAGTAGTCATTCAGGAGCAGGTTGTTCAGTTTCCATGTAGTTGAGTGGTTTTGAGTGAGATTCTTAATCCTGAGTTCTAGTTTGATTGCACTGTGGTCTGAGAGATAGTTTGTTATAATCTCTGTTCTTTTACATTTGCTGAGGAGAGCTTTACTTCCAAGTATGTGGTCAATTTTGGAATAGGTGTGGTGTGGTGCTGAAAAAAATGTATATTCTGTTGATTTGGGGTGGAGAGTTCTGTAGATGTCTATTAGGTCTGCTTGGTGCAGAGCTGAGTTCAATTCCTGGGTATCCTTGTTGACTTTCTGTCTCGTTGATCTGTCTAATGTTGACAGTGGGGTGTTAAAGTCTCCCATAATTAATGTGTGGGAGTCTAAGTCTCTTTGTAGGTCACTCAGGACTTGCTTTATGAATCTGGGTGCTCCTGTGTTGGGTGCATATATATTTAGGATAGTTAGCTCTTCTTGTTGAATTGATCCCTTTACCATTATGTAATGGCCTTCTTTGTCACTTTTGATCTTTGTTGGTTTAAAGTCTGTTTTATCAGAGACTAGGATTGCAACCCCTGCCTTTTTTTGTTTTCCATTTGCTTGGTAGATCTTCCTCCATCCTTTTATTTTGAGCCTATGTGTGTCTCTGCATGTGAGATGGGTTTCCTGAATACAGCACACTGATGGGTCTTGACTCTTTATCCAATTTGCCAGTCTGTGTCTTTTAATTGGAGCATTTAGTCCATTTACATTTAAAGTTAATATTGTTATGTGTGAATTTGATCCTGTCATTATGATGTTAGCTGGTTATTTTGCTCGTTAGTTGATGCAGTTTCTTCCTAGTCTCGATGGTCTTTACATTTTGGCATGATTTTGCAGTGGCTGGTACCGGTTGTTCCTTTCCATGTTTAGCGCTTCCTTCGGGAGCTCTTTTAAGGCAGGCCTGGTGGTGCCAAAATCTCTCAGCATTTGCTTGTCTGTAAAGTATTTTATTTCTCCTTCACTTATGAAGCTTAGTTTGGCTGGATATGCAATTCTGGGTTGAAAATTCTTTTCTTTAAGAATGTTGAATATTGGCCCTCACTCTCTCCTGGCTTGTAGGGTTTCTGCCGAGAGATCCGCTGTTAGTCTGATGGGCTTCCCTTTGAGGGTAACCCGACCTTTTCTCTGGCTGCCCTTAACATTTTTTCCTTCATTTCAACTTTGGTGAATCTGACAATTATGTGTCTTGGAGTTGCTCTTCTCGAGGAGTATCTTTGTGGCGTTCTCTGTATTTCCTGAATCTGAACGTTGGCCTGCCTTGCTAGGTTGGGGATGTTCTCCTGGATAATATCCTGCAGAGTGTTTTCCAACTTGGTTCCATTCTCCCCATCACTTTCAGGTACACCAATCAGACATAGATTTGGTCTTTTCACATAGTCCCATATTTCTTGGAGGCTTTGTTCGTTTCTTTTTATTCTTTTTTCTCTAAACTTCCCTTCTCGCTTCATTTCATTCATTTCATCTTCCATTGCTGATACCCTTTCTTCCAGTAGATCGCATCGGCTCCTGAGGCTTCTGCATTCTTCACGTAGTTCTCGAGCCTTGGTTTTCAGCTCCATCAGCTCCTTTAAGCACTTCTCTGTATTGGTTACTCTAGTTATACATTCTTCTAAATTTTTTTCAAAGTTTTCAACTTCTTTGCCTTTGGTTTGAATGTCCTCCCGTAGCTCAGAGTAATTTGATCGTCTGAAGCCTTCTTCTCTCAGCTCGTCAAAGTCATTCTCTGTCCAGCTTTGTTCCATTGCTGGTGAGGAACTGCGTTCCTTTGGAGGAGGAGAGGCGCTCTGCTTTTTAGAGTTTCCAGTTTTTCTGTTCTGTTTTTTCCCCATCTTTGTGGTTTTCTCTACTTTTGGTCTTTGATGATGGTGATGTACAGATGGGTTTTTGGTGTGGATGTCCTTTCTGTTTGTTAGTTTTCCTTCTAACAGACAGGACGCTCAGCTGCAGGTCTGTTGGAGTACCCTGCAGTGTGAGGTGTCAGTGTGCCCCTGTTGGGGGGTGCCTCCCAGTTAGGCTGCTCGGGGGTCAGGGGTCAGGCACCCACTTGAGGAGGCAGTCTGCCCCTTCTCAGATGTCCAGCTGCGTACTGGGAGAACCACTGCTCTCTTCAAAACTGTCAGACAGGGACATTTAAGTCTGCAGAGGTTACTGCTGTCTTTTTGTTTGTCTGTGCCCTGCCCCCAGAAGTGGAGCCTACAGAGGCATGCAGGCCTCCTTGAGCTGTGGTGGGCTCCACCCAGTTCGAGCTTCCTGGCTGCTTTGTTTACCTAAGCAAGCCTGGGCAATGGCGGGCGCCCCTCCCCCAGCCTTGCTGCCGCCTTGCAGTTTGATCTCAGACTGCTGTGCTAGCAGTCAGCGAGACTCCGTGGGCGTAGGACCCTCCGAGCCAGGTGTGGGATATAATCTCGTGGTGCGCCGTTTTTTAAGCCCGTCGGAAAAGCGCAGTATTCGGGTGGGAGTGACTCGACTTTCCAGGTGCCATCCGTCACCCCTTTCTTTGACTAGGAAAGGGAACTCCCTGACCCCTTGCACTTCCCGAGTGAGGCAATGCCTCACCCTGCTTCGGCTCGTGCACGGTGCGCGCACCCACTGACCTGCGCCCACTGTCTGGCACTCCCTAGTGGGATGAACCTGGTACCTCAGATGGAAATGCAGAAATCACCCGTCTTCTGCGTCGCTCACGCTGGGAGCTGTAGACTGGAGCTGTTCCTATTCGGCCATCTTGGCTCCTCCCAGTTTATTTTTAAAATAGTATAGTCAGGAAATGTGAGTTTCAAAGACAGACATTATTTTGGACTAGAGTTGTCTGGGAGAGAGTCTTGGTTGAATGAATTCAGAGATGGGTTAACGGAATTTAGAAACAAAGGTGGAAAAGCACATGAAATCAACACATGTGATATCATTTAAGCAGATGTGCTTATCAAATTCAGTGTTTGTACAATGGACTGAATGTTTGAATCCTTCCAAATTTATATGTTGAAAATTTATAGTATCTAATTACTTCTCAAAGACCCCTTGTGAATGGGACTAGTTCCCTTAGAAAAGAGACCCGCAAGAGCACCCTCACTGCTTTTCTCTGAGGTGAGGACACAAAGAAAAGATTGAAGTCTATTAACTAGAAAGTGAGTCCCACCACACACTGAATTTGCAGTTGCCTTG